>NC_000001.11:205608829-205760344 GCF_000001405.40 Homo sapiens | reverse complement strand
CCCAGGTTGGAGTGCAGTGGCACTATTTCAGCTCACTGCAACCTCTGCCTCCCGGGTTGAAGGGATTCTCATGCCTCAGTCTCCTGAGTAGCTGGGATTACAGGCATGCGTCACCACGCCCAGCTAATGTTTGTGTTTTTAGTAGACAGGGTTTTGCCATTTGGCCAGGCTGGTGTCGAACTTCTGGCCTCAAGCAATCCACCTGCCTCGACCTCCCAAAGTGCTAAGATTACAGGCATGAGCCACCATGCCTGGTTCCTCTTCCACGTTTAAGGACCCTTGTGATTACCTTAGGCCCACTGGGACAATCGAGGTTAATTATCCCACCTCAAGATCAGCTGATTAGCAACGTTACTCGCTGCTCACGTATTCACAGATTCCAGGAATTAGGACATGGACATTTTGGGGGAGTCATTATTGTACCTACCAAAGATGGGAAAACTGAGTAGTAGAAAGGTTAAGGAACTTGCCCAAGGTCACACAGCTAGTTGGTAGTAGGGCCAAGAATAAACACTGTTTTTTAAAATTCAAATTATAGACATTTTTAAAAAGGAACCAGGCATAGTGACTCACACCTGTAATCCCAGAACTTTGGGAGGTCGAGGCGGGTGGCTCACTTGAGGTCCGGAGTTCAAGACCAGGCTGGCCAACATGGCAAAACCCCATCTCTACTAAAAATACAAAAATTAGCCAGGTGTGGTAGTGCATGCCTGTAATCCCAGCTACTAAGGAGGCTGAGGCAAGAGAGTTGCTTGAATCCAGGAGGTGGAGGTTGCAGTGAGCCAAGATCATGCCACTGCACTCCAGCCTGGGCAACAGTGCAAGACTCTGTCTCAAAAAATAAAAATAAAAAGCCGGGTGCGGTGGTTCATGCCTGTAATCCCAGCACTTTGGGAGGCCAAGGCGGGTGGATCACAAGGTCAAGAGATCAAGACCATCCTGGCCAACATGGTGAAACCCCATCTCTACTAAAAATACAAAAATCAGCTGGGTGTGGTGGCACAAGCCTGTAGTCCCAGCTACTCAGGAGGCTGAGGCAAGAGAATTGCTTGAACCCAGAAGGCAGAGGTTGCAGTGAGCCAAGATCGTGCCACTGCACTCCAGCATGGGCAACAAAGCAAGACTCTATCTCCAAACAAACAAATAAATAAGAGAATTTTCCTCTAATTTCATCACTGAAGGATAACTTGATTAAGAGTTTGAGTATCCTTTCAGGTTTTTCTCTACATATACGGTATTAGCTATGAACCATTCCCCTTAAAAAAATAAATAAATAAAATAAACAGGCTCATACTTGGCTTTCTGTAGTTTGCTTTTTTCTTTTTAATGTATCTTGGCTATGTTCCCATCTAAGAACATACAGTTCCAGCTCATTCCTTTTCATTGTTGCATAGGACTATATGGATATATTAATAATTTATGTTGCCAAGCTATTTTTTTTTTTTTGAGACGGAGTCTCGCTCTGTCGCTCAGGTTGGAGTGCAGTCGCATGATCTCAGCTCACTGCAACTTCTGCCTCCCAGGTTCAAGCAATTCTGCCTCAGCCTCTGCAGTAGCTGGGATTACAGGCACCTGCCACCAGAAGCCCGGCTAATTTTTTGTATTTTTAGTAGAGACGAGGTTTCACTGTGTTGGCCAGGCTGATCTTGAACTCCTGAACTCAGGTGATCCACCCGCCTCGGCCTCCTGAAGTGCTGGGATTACAGGCGTGAGCCACTGTGCCTGGCCTTTATCTATTGATGGGTATTTGAGGTATTCCTTTTTCCTCTATTACAAACGGTGCTACAAACTAACATATTTACATATTTATAAATTTATGTGAAACTTCTTTAGGAACTCCTAGAAATGGGTCAGAGTATATGCACTTTGAAATAAACTCCCACCAGTAGGGTCTGAGAGGCCATTTTCCCCATATCCTTAACAAGACTGTTTTCAACTTTTACCAATCTAAGAAATGAAATATTTTTTAAATTTTCTTAAAATAATTTACCTTTTCTAATCCTCCAGTGTGCATGCTAGAAAATGTTTTTAATTTGTTTTTTGTTACAAGTGATCATATTTTTAAATGTATTAGTCATTTTTATTGTATGAATCACCTATTTGTGTCCTATGTCTGTTTTCATTTTGTCTTTTTCTTGTGACTTTTAAAAAGTTCTTTTTATATTATGAACATTAACCTTTTGTCACACATATTGCAAATATTTTCCCCAGTTCATGGAGGGATTTTATTTATTTTTTATTGAGACGGAGTCTCACTCTGTCTCCCAGGCTGGAGTGCAGTGGCGCCATCTCAGCTCACTGCAACCTCTACCTCCAGGGTACAAGCGATTTGATTCTCATGCCTCAGCCTCCTCAGTAGCTGGGATTACAGGCGCATACCACCATGACCAGCTAATTTTTTTTTTTTTTTTTGTATTTTTAGTAGAGATTGGGTTTCACCATGTTGGTCCGGCTGGCCTCGAACTCCTGACCTCAAGTGATCCGCTTGCCTCAGCCTCCCGAAGTGCTGGGATTACAGGCGTGAGCCATTGTGCCTGGCCCGTGGAGGTATTTTAAGTAGAGTAATATTAGATTTGGGCTTGAGAAATCTGTCTGATGGTAGCTTAAATGCTAGCACAGTTTAGCCTTTATTGTGGAAGCTGTATGGACTTATTGAAAATTTGAGTATGAGAATGATATGAGTACTGTAAACCACAGGAAGGTAGTATTGCCTGTTGTGTCTACTACAGATTACAGAAAAAGGAAAGAAGAAAGACTGTTATAGTAGTTTAAGCATGAATGGTGACAATGTAAATGGCAAGTGAAAAATGAATTTGACAAATGCAATGAAGAAGGAATCAAGAGGTTTCCACTTTGAAGACTAACAGTGAGGCATAAGACGGAGTCAGTAGTACCAAGATTTGAATACAGATAGCTAAGAGGAAGGTGATAACGCACAGCAAAGAAAACAATCTACAAAATGAAAAGGCAGCCTACAGAATGGGAGAAAATATTTGCAAACCATGTTTTCAGTAAGGCATTAATATCCAAAATATATAAGGAACTCATACAACTCAATAGCAAAAAAAAAAAAAAAAAAACCCAAATAACCCAAATAAAAAATGGACAAAGGACCTGAATAGACATTTTTCCAAAGGAGACATACAAACACCCAACAAACACCCAGCAGGTATATGAAAAAGGTGCTCAACATCACAGTCATCAGGGAAATGCAAATCAAAACCACAATGAGCCGGGCACACTTTGGGAAGCCAAGGTGGGTGGATCACCTGAGGTCAGGAGTTTCAGACCAGCCTGGCCAACGTAATAAAATCCCGTCTCTACTAAAAATACAAAAATTAGCCAGATGTGGTGGTGTGCACCTGTAATCTCAGCTACCTTGGGAGGCTGAGGGAGGAAACTCTCTTGAACCAGTGAGCCGAGATCACACCATTGCACTCCACCCTGAGGGACAAGAGTGAAACTCCATCTCAAAAAACAAAAACAAAAAAAAACAAAACACAATGAGATACCACCTCACGCCTGGTAGGATGGCTATTCTCAAAAAGTCAAACGATAACAAGTGTTGGTGAGGAGGTGGAAAAAAGGGAACCCTTATACATCATTAGTGGGATGTAAATTGGTACAGCCATTGTGGAGAACAGTATAGAGGTTCCTCAAAAAATTTAAAAATAGAACTACCATATGATCCAGCAGCCCCACTTCTGGATATATATCCAAAGAAAATGAAATTGGTATCTCAAAGAGGTATCTGCATGCCCATGTTCATCACAGCATTATTTGCAATAGCCACGATATGGAATCAGATTGTCAGTGGATGAATGGATAAAGAAAATGTGATATGTGTGTTTATATACCTACATACACACGACAGAATATTATTCAGCCTTCTTGAAGTTCTGCTATTTGCAACCACATGGATGAACCTGGAAGACATTATACTAAGTGAAATAAGCCAGGCATAGAAAGACAAATACTGCATGATCTCGTTTATCCAGTGTGTGGAATCTCAGAAAAGTGGATCTCATAGAAAAAGAGAGTAGAGGATGGCTACCAGGGGTCAGAGGATGGGAAAAATGAGGAGATGATGGTCAAAGGGCACAAACTTGCAGTTATAAGATGAACAGGTTTTGGAGACCTAATGTACAGCATGGTGACTATAGTTAATATTTTATATACTTGAAATTTGCTTGGAGAGTAGATCTTAAGTATTCTCACTACACCAAAAAAAGATAACTGAGGCCATGGACATGTTAATTAGCTTGATTGGATAATCATTTCATAATGTATCAAAACATCACAATGTACAACTTAAATATATACAATTTTTATTTGTCAATTATACCTCAATAAAACTGACAGGGGAAAATGATACAGAGGACAGGAATAGAGTCAGGAAAATAATGTGGGTGGGAAAGATGATTTTTTTTGACATAAATAAATTGAGCTTGTGGACATCCAAGTGGAAATACCTGTTAGGCAGTTAGGGATACCGAGCTGGAACCAATACAGAAGTAGAAAGGCTGGCACTAGTTGGTGAAATCATGCCTATATGGTCATGGTTGGAGCAGCTTAATTCTCCTAGGAATAGTTGGGAGGTAGAGAATGTCATTGTCTCTCTATATGAAACAGAAAGTGTATCGCAGTGCTGCAAGCTGATGGTCATCACTCCTCATTACTGCACCTTTTCTTCATCTCATCTGGAAGCTGTAAGCAGTTTTGTTTTGTTTTGTTTTTTTGAGATGGAGTCTTGCTCTGACATCCAGGCTGGAGTGCAGTAGCACCATCTCGGCTCACTGCAATCTCCACCTCCTGGGTTCAAGTCATTCTCCTGCCTCAGCCTCCCTGGTAGCTGGGATTACAGGTGTGCACCACAACACCCAGCTAATTTTTGTATTTTTAGTAGAGACGGGATTTCACCATGTTAGCCAGGCTGGTCTCGAACTCCTGACCTCGTGATCCGCCCACCTTGGTCTCCCAAAGTGCTGGGATTACAGGCATGAGCCACCGCGCCCTGCTGAGCAGTTTTTTTAACTGTTACCAGTATTCAGGGATGGTTGTATTCTGTTGGAGGAATAAGTCAGCTATCGGAATTTGGGGTTTTCCTTTAGTGAAGCGAATGTGATCCCATTCTACCGCTCATAGTGCTTCACAGTCTACAAACTACTTTCGCAAGTGATCCCTTTTTTTTTTTCTTGTTATTATGCTAACCTTGTGAAGTGGGTAAGGACCAGTATAATTATCTCCATTTCACAGATGAAGGAGCTGAGGCACAGGGAGTTTGAAATTTGCTAAAGGACATAGGTAGTAAATTACAAGCTCAGAGACAGATAATCTTGATTACAAGTTCAGTGCTCTTTTTGTTCTACCTTGGGGCCTCGCTTTTCAGCAGTGTTCACCTCACAATATTTGTCAGTGGTTTGCATAGATAAAGCTGTCTCTCCCTCAGTGTTACAATGACAAGTTTTCTATGGATTTTGTGTCCAGCAAAACAGTAAGTTAGTCTTGTTGTATTTTTCTTCAATTTAAACTGGATATTGAGTTGTACATCTTTATTGTTTTAGTAGTACAAAATCACCTAAGCTTAGCTCTTAATATTCAAAGTAGAGAGGAAGATGGGAATCTGGAGCAAAGAAATACACACTTGAGAAAAAGAAGACAAGGGAAAATTTCCTCTAATCACGGATCTATCTCCAAGCAGGCTACTCAGTCTCTGGGGTTGTAGAGAGACAGACCTAATACACACAGTTCTTCTATCCCATCCTGTCTTCTAGAGTGGTAGTACAGAGAGAGCCAGCAGGTTGGAGGTAGAAGATTTAAAAATAAAAAATTTTTAAAAAAAGAGTTGGAGGTTTCTTTAACTTCCTGGCAGCATCTCCAAAGAGTGGTACCCTTCTGTGGTCCTGTTCTCTGTGGAAGCAGTCTCTGTCTTTAGACCTGGTTGGTTGACTTTCATGAGATCACAGAACTGGAAGTGCCCAGCACACAATGCTGAAAAATTTTTATGAAGCTCTCAGCTGCTATAGTGTAGCCCTTGATGGAAATGGGTTTTTGTTGGGTATGTGGAAAACCCATCAGTCTTACCATCCCAGCACTGCCAGTTCTTACTGTCTAACATATGTGAAGGAGAAGGAAAATGGTACTTCTCAAAACATAACTAAAAATCACAGGGGAAAATTAAGCACTGTGTTTAAAAGGCCATGAGATTTCATTTCCAGGGAAAAGGAATAATTCCGCCTTTTCTGTCTCCTGAGGCTTTTCTGTTTTCATAGTTTCTCCTAGTTTTATTACACATATTGTCCCTTCGGGGTTATCAGATAGTGCTTCTAAAACCTGACCTATCCTATGATCAGTGTCCTTCTTCAGTTTCCAGCAAACTGATTGTGGTTAAAACAGGTACACAGGGCAGATCACTGGGGTACAGATTAGAGGGAACTGACCTTGGAGACTGCATTCCACGTTCTTTTGGCACTACTGGCCATAGTTCTGTACTTGTCCACTAAAAAGTAAACTCGAAGTTCAAGTCTTAAGTTATTTCTTCCCTGAGAGACGATGTTGATTGCAATACTAAGTGAATAAATGAGCAAATGGAAGGAAGATGTTAGCTGAAGCTGCAGTGAAGAGAAAGGTAGGATATGAGGCTGAACTTGGAAGGAGGAGAGTCTTCACTCAGTGGCCATTTGTATACTGGCCTTGCACTACACTATCAGGCCAACAACCTGAAGACCTATTCTGAACTTTCCACCTGCCTGCAAATGTTGACTATGGTCATTTCTGTTCACTACCTAATAAATGAGTAACAAGAATTCCTCTGCCCCATCTCACAATACCAAATAATGATGTTTACTAAAATAATAACAATTTGGCCTAATAAAAGAGCCTCCACCAAAGCCACTTGGTGATCACTCTGCCACCCAAGTTTCTGCCCTGGCATTCTGACAATAGTGGGGATGGTAATACACTTAGTCAAAACATATATGGAGCCGGGCGCGGTGGCTCACGCCTGTAATCCCAGCACTTTGGGAGGCTGAGGTGGGTGGATCACTTGAGGTCAGGAGTTCGAGACCAGCCTGGCAAACATAGTGAAACCCCGTCTCTACTAAAAATACAAAAAGCCAGGTGTGGTGGCGCATGCCTGTAATCCCAGCTACTCTGAGGCTAAGGCAGGAGAATTGCTTGAACCCGGGAGGTAGAGGCTGCAGTGAGCCAGACCAGGTGACAGGGCTAGACTCTATCTAAAAAAAAAAAAAAGGCTGGGCGTGGTGGCTCATGCCTGTAATCCCAGCACTTTGGGAGGCCGAGGCGGGTGGATCACCTGAGGTCAGGAGTTTGAGACCAGCCTGGCCAACGTAATGAAACTCCGTCTGTACTAAAAATACAAAAAT
This sequence comes from Homo sapiens, assembly GCF_000001405.40. Classification (NCBI taxonomy): domain Eukaryota; kingdom Metazoa; phylum Chordata; class Mammalia; order Primates; family Hominidae; genus Homo; species Homo sapiens. The sequence continues at coordinate 205,752,959 of NC_000001.11, read as the reverse complement.
TAGCCAGGCGTGGTGGCGGGCATCTGTAGTCTCAGCTACTTGGGAGGCTGAGGCAGGAGAATGGCGTGAACCTGGGAGGCGGAGTTTGCAGTGAGCAGAGATCGCACCACTGCACTCCAGCCTGGGCAACAGAGCGAGACTCCGTTTCAAAAAAAAAAAAAAAAACCGTATATGGACACTCATTAGGATGGCTATTGTAAAAAACTTACTGTTGGCAAGGACATGGGGAAATTGGAACACTTGCACATTGCTGGTAGGAGTGTAAAATGATACAGCTGATGGAGAATCCATACGGCAATTCTTCAAAAAATTAAACAGAATAGCTGTATGATCTAGCAATTCCATTTCTGGGTATATATCCAGAAAGGAAAGCAGGTACTCAAACATATTTGTACTCCCACTTGCCCAGCAACATCATTCACAATAGCCATAAGGTGGAAGCAACCCAAGTGTCCATTGATGGATGAGTGGATAAACAAAATGTGGCATATACATACAGTGGAATATTATTTGGCCTTTAAGAGAAAGGAAATTTTGACACTTGCTACAACATGGATAAACCTGGATGCCATTATGCTAAGTGAAATAAGCCAGTCACAAAAGGACAAATACTGTATGATTACACTAACATGAGATTCCTAGAGCAGTCAGGTTCATACAGACAGAAAGTAAAATGGTGGTTGCCAGCGGCTATGGGGAAGGGGGAAAGTGGGGAGTTAGTGTTTAATGGGCACAGAGTTTCAGTTTGGGAAAATGAGAAAGTTCTGGTGTTGAATCGTGGTGATGGTTGCATAACAATGTGAATGTACTTAACGCCACTTAACTGTACACTTAGAGACAGTTAAAGTGGTACATTTATGTTATGTATTTTTTTTTTAACCACAATTTAAAAAAATTGCGGGGGACGGGTGCGGTGGCTCACTCCTGTAATGCCAGCACTTTGGGAGGCCAAGGCAGGCAGATCACTTGAGGTCAAGAGTTCAAGACCAGCCTGGCCAACATGGTGAAACCCCATCTCCACAATAAAATACCAAAATTAGCTGGGCATGGTGGAGCACGCCTGTAATCCCAGCTACTTGGGAGGCTGAGGCAGGAGAATCGCTTGAACCCGGGTGGTGGAAGTTTCAGTGTGCAGAGATCGTGCCACTGCAATCCAGCCTGGGGAGCATAGTGAGTGAGACTCCGTCTCGAAAAAATAAAAATTAAAAATAAAAATAAGAGGGACAGAGGGTGGAATGACATGGAAGAGACAAAAGATATTAATTTGTTTAATGCTTCACTGGTGGACTGTGCTATTCTCTTCTTTTTGGGAAGCCAGATTTTACAAAGGGAGACTTTCAGGAGGCAGATGTGGTGTGTTTTTTGTTGTTGTTGTTTGGAAAGTGTATCTTCAATTGGTTGTTAACTGACTGCTCATTGGAGACTTCTGCCAGATGCGCCCAGATCATTAGTCCGTTTGAATCATCACGTCTTCCAGGCCCCACCCTACTCTCTGATAGGCCCCACCTTCACCGTGGGGTCCTGTTAGTCAAGATGCTCTGAGAGCGCACAGCCACCAAACAAAAATGATCGCTTTGACTGTGACAGGGATTGACGTCTATTTTCGATAGCAGACTCAGCCTTAGCCATTCACATAGGAATCCTGAGCTCTGCCTTTGAGAGTATTAGGCATCCAACAAATGCTCACGGATTTAAGTGAAATGATGTGCGTTACTTTCAGTTATATGACTTCGAAGAGTCTTTGTTTTGTTTTTCAAAGTGCAAGGGTAAATCAATAGAATTCATAGGGTCTTGAGCCAGCTCCACCCATCTCTACCCAGGGACGGAATCATCTTTTAAAACTTGGATTTAACACTTACGTAGCACTTACTGTGAGCCAGAGACTATCCTAAAGACTTTTGATAGATATATCAACTCATTTAATACTAATAAGCCTATGCAGTTAGGTACCCTTGTTTCCCATTTTACAGATGAGAAAACTGAGGCACAGAGAAGGAAAGTTATACCACCATTAAGTAGTGGACCTGGGATTCCACCTGAAATACCTTGTGGCCCCTGAGCTCATGCTCTTAGTTATTGTACACCTGACTCTTTTCTTAAAATAGTAATGCACCAGACTGGGACTTTAATGACCCTGAAGTGGATCTCAAGGTCCAGAATGGAGAATGGTAATTGGGGGTGAAGATATTCCTTGATTATGATCCTGCCTCTCTACTCCAGCAGCCTCATTTGGTCCCTGAGGGTTAATGCCGAAGCCAGGGTAAGGGGCTTGTAGGTTTAAGGTCAAATTTTTTGAACCTAAGGAATTTCCCTCCAATTCTGTAGCAGCCCCGCAGTGACGAATCTGCTGCCTCTCCCACGGGTTTTGCTATTAGAGGATTTTCAAGGTGATCAAGGCAGACGAGATGAAACACCATTAAACTAACACTGAGCAACGCTGAACCCTACATAAATCTTTTTTTCTAGTCTTTCTAAGATACGACCCCAGACGAATCTGCAACTCTGGAGTGGAAACCAGGGGGCGGGCTAAGCAGCGACCATTTTTGTTTTGCGGCCGTGCGCTCTCAGAGCATCTTGACTAACAGGACCCCCACGGTGAAGGTGGAGCCTATCAGAGAGCAGGGCGGGGCCTGGAAGACGTGATGATTCAAACGGACTAATGATCTGGGCGCATCTGGCAGAAGTCTCCAATGAGCAGGCGTGTTGGGGAGGAGCGCACAAACCCTAGTGGGTTTGGTTGCACGGCGGCTTTGGCGCATTTTCGGCTGGTTTGATTCATCCATTTTGAAGAGACGGGGGAGCGGGGGGCTCGTCTGTTCCAGGAGCCCTGAACCAAAGAGCAGCGGAGTTTGAGAAGCCAGCAGCTCGGGGTTCGGCAGCAGCGGTCCCATCGGCTGAAGTTCGGGGGGGGTGGGGCGCCGAGCGCGCGGGGTGGGGGGGGTCCTGGTCTTTGGCTTCTCGACTCGGTCCTGTTTCGACAGCGAACATGTCGCGGCCTGTCAGGTCAGTGCGGAGTCTGAGGCCTGGAGCGGGTTGGAGGGGGATGGGGGCGAGTGGTGAAAAGAGTGGGGGACAGAAGGCTAGAGTCCGCCATCCCCGGTGCCGCGCGCGGCCTCCTCCCTTTCGGGGCCCGCGCGCACCCTTGAGCGTGGGGGGCCCTGCTGGCGCGCGGGGGTGGTGGCTGCGCGCCCGTGCGCGCGCCCCTCCCCGCCCCGCGCCGCTGCAGGGCTCCGGTCTGCTCAGCTGCCTCCCCCACCCACCGCACTAGAGCGGGCGGGGTGTCCCTGAGCCGCCAGCGGCCGGAGGGGGAGGGGTGTGAAGTCAGCGCCCCCAAGAGGCCCCACCTCCTCGGGGCCGTCCCCTTGGAGCCAGCGCGGGGAGGCGGGCGGACTCGAGCTCCACTCCCCACCTTCAGCGAGGAGGGGCGGAGGCACCCGTATTGCCCCTTCCCCCAGCGACTGGCGCGGGGGTGGGGGCCCTGAGCCCTCTCTGTAGCGGACGGGGGTGTTCCTGGCAAAGGGGGAGGGGCAGCACTGCCAACCGGCCCCGCCTCTGTCCTTCGGGGTCGCTGCAGGCCCCGCCTCCCGGATCGGGCCGAGCGTGGGCGGGACCCGTTTTTTTCCCCCCGGGCAAAAGTGAGAGTTCGGGACTGGATCCTGGAAAATAATGGGCTGCTGCCTCTCTCCCCACCTCAGAGTTTTGAGAGAGTTAACCCCAAAGTTCGCTCTTTCTCTCCGACTAGAAATGTCCTTCCTCGGGGAAATGTCCGTACTCAGGGAGGTGCGGGTTAACAGCACGGCCCAAATCCCGTGTGGTTCTCGTTCCACTCTCACCCGCGTACGCGTCTCGGGATATTTTTGTAACCCTCTTGTCCCCGAGTGACTTTAGTAATAAAAGGGCTAGGTTCGGGTAACCATCAGACTTCATTCTCGGAATTTCAACAAGTTTGCTATTCCCCCAGCTGTCGGTGGAATCGTCCTATGCCATTCTCCAGGCTATTGTATGGAATGTGCCATTTATGGAGGGGTGTGGTTTAGTCCAATCTGTTGAGGCCTTAAAAAGGAGAGCTGTTGCAAATAAATATTTTTAATGTAAGGAATTGGCTTCTTTGCATAGTGTGTTTTCTAAATAAATAGATAAAGGCTTAGTTTTTAAATGTTTTAACAGTCGTTGCTTCCCCTTCATTCCAAGTTGTGTGGGAAACGGAAGTACCTTTAATTAGAGTTCTAAAGAGAGGTTTGGGACCCTGGCAAGGGTTTTGTTCTACACCGTTCTGTCTCCAGACTAGATCATCCTCCAACTGGTGGTGGTATGAGACTGCGTACTCCTACACACGGGGTGGGAATGAGGAGAAAGCTGCTGTTAGCTCTGTTTCAATCAGCATCTGTGGTAACTCACGATCTCTACTCTGAAAGTTATGCTGGCCTTTTGGCAAGGAGTCTGGATAGCTCTTTCAGAGTATAGTTTGCGTAATTTTTTTGGCATAAAACTTGACCAATGTATCCATCAACTCACGTAGAATATTTTCTTTAGGATCAGGTAAAATAATAAAATAAAGATTTATTTTACCTGGATTGGATCTTTTGTCTTCTGGAAGTAATTACTGTGTGGTCAAATTAGGTCAAATTAGGAAAAATAATTCCTCTACCTTTTAAATTTTAGTTCACTAAGTTTTGATGACTTTATTTTATTGTGGTGACGTTCTTATCTCATCTGCCTGAATTTGTTTTCCCAGATTTAGGTATTGGAACATGAACAGAACATTTTTACTGGAAAACTTGGATTTTTTATGTTACCATGTGGGGATATATATATTAAGCACATTCTATCAGTTTTTTGGAGGCATTGGGACTTCTGCACAACTTTTTTATTACTCAGTATGTTGTTTAAACTAATTTTGACCTTGTTTATTTCCCCTAATTGAAGAGTGAAGTTAATATGTTGTGGGCTGTTTTTTTTTTTCTTTGCCATTTTCAAATTATTAATTTCAGAGCAAGTTGGTTACGGAGTATATTTTAGTCATAAATTCTTTGTAATTATTTTTTAAAAGAAGTCTTTATTCATGACCAATAATAAAGCAGAAATAATTAAACTTGAGTTTGGTGGTTTGTTAAATTTTGCAATAAAAAAGTCCTGACTTAGGGAAATGATGTTGTTTCAAAGTATAATTGAAGAATCTATATTCCCTTAGTGCATTTAACATCAACGAAAAAAGTGATAGACATTGACCTGATTTCAGAATCATCAGCCTTGTTTTAAAAACAAAAAAGCACAAGTTGGAAAATATTGTCACTGTGTCGTCTTTTGGGGTATTTCTGCCCTTAGGCCTGTGTATAATTTTGCAGTTTTTCTGGTTCTCATTGTACCATAAATATCCATTTTTATTTTAATATGAACCTAAACATTTTAAGAGCATTTGGAAATGTACCTATGGCACCTTAGCATCAATTTCCAAATGAAGGGTGGTATGGTGGACCTATTGGCTACTGCATGGTTTTGCAAAGACCTGTGTCTAGCACGTTATGTTTAACTTTGTTCATACAAGATTGCTGTCTTTACCCTTTGCAGTGGCCGACTGTTAAATGAGAGCTCAAATATTTTAGGCCTTGGATTCAAATTAATAGCTTAAAATTAGCCTTGGAGCTAGGAAGAGGTTTAGGCAAACTCACTTTATTAAACCTAGTTTAATGGGGACCTGGATAAGTGAGGTGCCTTGCATCACGAACTAGCAGGTGCAAATGTTGGGCTGAGAACCTAGATTTCCCAATTCCCAATTCCCAATTCTGGTCCCCACCCGCATGATCGCTGTACCTTCTGCCCGATCAATATTAATGTTATTAGTGCTGATTAAAGAACATAGTATGTAACATTTTTAACTTTTTTAAGTGCTTTCATGAGTCAACTTTGTGAGGAAGGAAGGAAAATGCCATTACTTGTAAGAGGTGAGAAAGAAAGCTCAGATTTACTGACTTGCCCAAACTAGAAACCAGATTTCTTGAAATTCAGCTGTTACACTCTCCAGAGATCCTCCTCCCTTATTGAAAGTGATCCAGGTTGCTCAAACCAATCTTTTTGCTTCTCCTTGTAACCTAAGTGTGCTTGATACCTTTTGTTTAACACTTGAGATTGTAAGGAACCTTACCATTGAAAATTTAGATGTGAAAACATAAGCTCTTACAAGTTGTTATAGAATTTATTTTATTGTTTGTCATGTTTATAAGTAGTGTTGAGAATTAACGGCTTTCCCAGGATTCCAGTTTGCTTTCTTTTCAAAGAGAATTGTTTGGGCCATGCCTGGATTCTAAAAATATTCTCTCCCCCAAAACAATTGGTTTCAAGAAGTCCTCAGCTAAAGAGAAAAACTAGAAACTTGAAAATTCAAGGTAGTTCAAAATGTGTTACCAAATGTGCACATGAAGACACAAGTTTAATATGGTTGTAGATGAGACTGGCTCATTCTCTTATTCTCTAGTGTGTGTGTGTGTGTGTGTGTGTGTGTGTGTGTGAGAGAGAGAGAGAGAGAAGTGAGTTTATTAACCTTGGATCTATACTTTTTAAAATTACCTGTCAGTTTCCTCTAAAAAGACATAATTCCTTCAAAGACATGCCATCAAAGATACATAATTTACAATGCCTGAATAATGGGGGAGTTATTTATTTATTTGAGATGGGATTTCCCTCTTGTTGCCCAGGCGGGAGTGCAATGGTGCAATCTCGGCTCATTGCAACCTCCACCTCCCGGGTTCAAGTGATTCTCCTGCCTCAGCCTCAGAGTAGCTGGAATTACAGGTGCCCACTACCACACCCAGCTAACTTTTGTATTTTTAGTAGGGACAGGGTTTCACCATGTTGGCCAGGCTGGTCTCGAACTCTTGACCTCAGGCGATCCACCCACTTCAGCCTCCCAAAGTGCTGGGATTACAGGCGTGAACTACCGCGCCCGGCCGGAAAGTTACTTTTATAAGAAAAGTATTCACTTTTGCTCAACATACATGTAATTAATTACCTGAAAATTACAGTGTTTAAAATTTTCATTTTAAATGTTTAAAATGTTTTCATTTTCAACAAACATTGAGAAAAAATGCAGTCAGGAACTGTGCTAGAGGTTTTCACTTTGTTTTATCCTTATTACAACCCTGTAACAAGTATTTTTCTTTATCACCATGTAACATGACAAAACAAGCTTAAAGAATATGTTACAGTTACAGAGCTATGATAGCAGAGCTAAGGTTTGAGCTCAGATCTGAATACAAAACTAGCATTTTTTTTCCATGGTACTAATCTTTCTTGCCTAGTATTCAGTGTGAAGATGGTCAGGTTTTTTTTAATATCTCCTCAATGGTGAATACATTCCATACACATTGATTTTTAGCTGTTTAAAACATTTTAGGAAAAACAGCCAAAATGTTTAACTTAGCGTTTTTGCTCAACTCAATATTTAAAATAATTTTCAGAGATACTTTTTTTTTTTGGAGACAGGATCTCACTGTCACCCAGGCGGGAGTGCACTGGTGCGATCACAGGCTCACTGCATCCTCAACCTTTCAGGCTCAGGTGATCCTCCCACCTCAGCCTTTCAGGTAGCTGGGACTATAGGTGTGGCCCACCACGCCTGGCTAATTTTTTGTAGACAGGGTTTCACCATGTTGCTCAGGCTGAGAGAGATAGTTAAAAGTACTAAATTAAAAAAATAAGCTAGAAAGAACTTAAGTCCCGTTCCTTCAGTTTACCAGTGATGACTTTGAACCCAAGGAGTTAGTGTAGAGATAATATCAAGGCTGGATTTAGACTGCATAAATCTTAGTCATTCTCCTTTTTACTATTTGTATATACAGTATTTGATTTTACAGAGAGTGTATTAGAAGTCCACATTCCTAGTTTGAAACCATTGGGGCCATATGTGGTTTAAAATTTTTGAAAAATGTGGAATTCCCAAAAGGTAACAGGATGCATGTACTGTATAGTAATGTACCATCACTAGTTTAGGGTAGTACTCCTGTAAACAATCACATTAATATCTCTCGTGAGGGCCAGGCGCGGTGGCTCATGCCTGTAATCCCAGCACTTTGGGAGGCTGAGGCGGGCAGATCACCTAAGGTCGGGAGTTCGAGACCAGCCTGACCAACATGGAGAAACCCCGTCTCTACTGAAAATACAAAATTAGCCAGGCGTGGTGGCGCATGCCTATAATCTCAGCTACTTAGGAGGCTGAGGCAGGAGAATCGCTTGAACCCAGGAGGCGGAGGTTGCAGTGAGCCGAGACCACGCCATTGCACTGGAGCCTGGGCAACAAGGGCGAAACTCCGTCTCAAAAAAAAAAAAAAAAAAACTCTAGTGAACTTAGGAATTTTCACACTGAGATATGAAAGGCCTCACATTTAGGTCATCATATTTTGCCACCATGTAAGTTATGAAAATACTTAATTTTCAGAACTTTTTGGATTTCTAAATTGTGGGTTGGTGGATTGAGGACATTTAACAGCATGAGCTGAAAAAAAATCACTTCCTCACTTAGTAGAATTAGCAATTACTGAGCAACTCTTAGATGCCAAATAATTCCACCAGGTACTTTATACATATTTCAAAATCATGCACAACTCTTAAAGGCATATGTTATCCTCATTTCATATGTTAGGCCTGAGGTTAGGATAAAAAAAGTAACTACACAGTTCACCTAACTATTAAGAGATGAAGCAGGAATTTGTATCCCACTGTGAACAACCCAAAGCCAGTTCGTGATCTTTTCAATGTGACATTGTCACAGGGTACACTTTGTCACGGTGTTAGCACATTTTGTCTTCTTTGGAGCAAGTTACAGTTCATAATAGAACTTTTGTTGTGGGGAGGCCTAATTTTCTAGGGAGGAAGAGGAGAAAATGTGAAGAGATTAAGGGGAGATACACCTGACAGGAGGAAAAACCAGTGGAGTATTTAGTGTGAACCTTTGCCGAGAAAAAGGTGGCATTGTTTTAAGTTTATACGTTTCAAAATATGAGGGCGTTTCCCCTTAACTAGGTGATTCCAAAGCCACCTAAAGGACAAAAAGGGAATGAGGGGCTCATTTTACATAAAAATATGGATGCAAAAATGCTAAACAGACAATTAGCTAACTGAAACCAATGAGTACACTAACTCACTGTCATCAGTAGGCTCTTGGAAACTTCTAACTTTAAGCAACATGATATACAGTAAACAGGTTTTTTAATAATGTTGTGTTACAAGGTCGATGAGAAAGGTCTACTGCAACATTTCACTTAAGGCTCCACTTTCCAAGAGCCTATCAGTGACGTTAAGTGAGAACTGTATTAAAAATATATGTGATCAAGTAGGGTTTGTCCCAAGAACAAAACAATCTTTCTGTGAGTCAATGTATTAAAAGACTAAAGGAAAAACCATTGCATTTGAAAAAGGTTTAACGCCTATTGTAAAACTTAATGCATTAAAATTAGAAGGAAATGATTAACTTGACTGAGGTTACAAATAGGTTAAGTGGTTGAGTTTTTAGTGTTTTAAGTCGATTAGTGATTAATTATTGGGGAGAGATAATCCTGGCACAACAAAAGAAGCCCTGGGTATCAGGAAACGGATTTCAGCCTCTTCTGGGTTTATATAGTGGAGATGTTGAACTCCATTGGAGTAATAGTATCTTGCAGTCACAAAGCATTTTACAATTTTCAAAACTTTTTCTCACTGGCTTCCTCCAGCCCAAAAAACACCGTTAGTTAAGAAAGAAAGCTAATTTTGAATAAAAGTTTTTGGTTTTTGGGGTTTTTTTGGCCTGTTTTTTCCCAAAAATGTAACAGTCACCATACTGTGTAACGCTGGGATACTGCGCCTACGCATTCTACATGAAGGTTGTCCCTCTAGAGTTGTATGACTTACAGTCTGCATGGCCAAATGGGTTACTTTGCAAACTTTGAACTTAAAAAGTATTGAGCATGCTGAAAAGTGTTAAATTTGCATTTTAAAAACAATTCCTAGCTGTAAAAGGAATGTGACCGTATTACTCTAAATTCAGAAGTAGCTTTTTGGATTGTTGAGACTGGAGACTGCACCTAGGAGACTCACATGTTGTGGACAATAGGAGGAAACCTTTTATTTATTTGTTTGTTTATTTATTTATTTTTTTTTCTTTGAGACCGAGTCTCGCTCTGTCCTCCAGGCTGGAATGCAGTGGAGCGATCTCGGCTCACTGCAAGCTCCGCCTCCCGGGTTCACGCCATTCTCCCGCCTCAGCCTCGCGAGTAGCTGGGACTACAGGCGCCCGCCACCACGCCCGGCTAATTTTTTAGTATTTTTAGTAGAGACGGGGTTTCACCGTGTTGGCCAGGATGGTCTCGATCCCCTGACCTTGTGATCCGCCCACCTCGGCCTCCCAAAGTGCTGGGATTACAGGCGTGAGCCACAGCGTCCGGCCCCAGGAGGAAACCTTTTATTTTTTAGCACAAGACCACTTCGGTCAAACTGGGCGCCCCTTTATTTTGTTGGGAAAAAATTATTGCTGTCTAGATTCTAGGAAGTGAAACTAATCGTTATACAGTTATATTGCCATGTTTTAAAATAACTACTATTTAAATGGTCTTAATTGTAGGTCTTTGAAACACTTTAGATGAAGAGATCACAGGCTGCTTAAGAGTGTTTCAACTAGGTATTGCAGTTTTCAGGTGCTTCTTAGGTGTTACTATTATTTGAATTGTGTATCTGTTCAGTTCTGTGCTAAGCAAGGCGATCTTCAGGGAGATTTCCCTTCCAGCTACCTTTGGTTGGAGTGTTCTAGGTCACAATAAAATGACTTAGAAAATGAACTACTCAAGAAACTAAATATTAGCTCCACTGAAAGAGTAAAAGTCGGTGCTGCTATCTCTTACACTGGGATAACATACAGCTGCTTGTCTTCCAAGGACTTGCTGCAGCTCTAGAGATTCTTAACAACCCCTCTTCCTTGAGTGACTACTGCTCTCTTACAGAGAAACTTGGTTCTATAAAATCAGAGACTATCAGAAACTTTACTGTTTGGAATTCTCTGAGTAAAAATGAACGTCACACTTTTGTCAGGAAGATCTAAGTCATTTTGACACAGAGAACTAGCTTTGATTTACAACTTCAGAGCTTTGGATAAGGGGTTGTTAAACACAAAACTCTGCATCTACCCTAACTTCTTTCCCAGGAAATAGGACCCTAGTTCCACTCTGCAGTCCAGACCTGATATTGATCCCTTTAACACAGTTCTGTGCTTATAGTCTATCAAGATACTGCTTCATTTATCTTAGTTCTACCCTTCTCCAAAATTCTGTAATTTTTTCTGTTACATGAGATGCTTCACACTTCTCTGATGTGCTTGTCCTTCATTGTATTCAGTCAATAAACCTAAATTTGTCAGGCTACAGGTTTGTCCCTAGCGATTGAGTTACACAGTTTGGAAGACACCACCGAGGTTTCCAAGACCATGGGACTCTACTCAGTAATTTCGCATCTGAGACCCCTTCAGTCTCACACATTAGAGGTTTCTCTGTCCCCAGTTGCATAGGTTTTACACTAAACTTCCACTGGGAAAAATCTAACCTAGCTGACTTTATTTATCAAATACTTTATCTTATGCTCATTGAAATTTGTATGTGACTTTTTCTTTCTTTTCTTTTCTTTTTTTTTTTTTTTTTTTTTTGAGACAGTCTCGCTCTGTCGCCCAGGCTGGAGTGCAGTGGCGCGATCTCGGCTCACTGCAAGCTCCGCCTCCCGGGTTCACGCCATTCTCCTGCCTCAGCCTCCCGAGTAGCTGGGACTACAGGCGCCCGCCACCACGCCCGGCTAATTTTTTGTATTTTTAGTAGAGACGGGCTTTCACCGTGTTAGCCAGGATGGTCTGCATCTCCTGACCTCAAGTGATCCGCCCGCCTCGGCCTCCTGAGGCGGGATTACAGGCGTGAGCCACCGCGCCCGGCCGTGTGTGACTTTAAAAGAAAACATTTTCCTATATGGTGAAACTGAACATGGTAAGTTGTGAAATAAAGTAACTTGAGTCCTGGGAATAAGGAGTGCCTTATAAGAGTTAATACTTGTTCATGGGGCTAAACCATTAACAAGTTGGTAATATATTGGTTTTATATATATATACATACTAAGTATATATATATATATATACTTAGTAGGAGATTGTGATCTAGTAAATGTGTCTGGCTCAGTCATTCAGAACACCTTTACCCACCTCCGTTTTCTGCAGAAATTAGAAACATCTGATTTGAAAAAATTAGGAGCTCTTTTCTATAATGCTATTGGGGATTTTGGTTTTATTTTTGCTTTCTCATATCTTGTGGCTTTGTTGTGAATTTTATATTTATTTTATTTATTTTTTTGAGATGGGGTCTCAATCTGTCGCTCAGGCTAGAGTGCAGTGGCCTGATCTCATTGCAACATCAGCCTCCTGGGCTCAAGCGATCCTCCCACCTCAGTCTCCCAAGTATCTGAGACTACAGGCGTGCGCCACCACACCTGGCTAATTTTTTTTAGAAGAGACAGGTTATTGCTGTGTGGTTCAGGCTGGTCTTGAACTCCTGGGACTCAAGCAATCCTGCCATCTCTGCCTCCCAGAGTGCTGGGATTACAGGCGTGAGCTACCACAACCAGAGGGAATTTGATATTTTAAATTGTAAATAGGATGGGCCAGGTGTGGTGGTTTACGCCTATAATCCCAGCACTTTGGGAGGCCGAGGTGGGTGGATTGCTTGAGTCCTGGAGTTTGAGGGCAGCCTGGCCAACATGGTGAAACCCCTTCTCTACTAAACTTAAAAAAAAATTAGCCAGCTGTGGTGGTGCACAACTGTAATCCCAGCTACTGGGGTGGCTGAGGCAGGAGAATCGCTGGAACCTGGGAGGCAGAGGTTGTAGTGAGCCATCATCATGCCACTGTACTCCAGTCTGGACAACAGAGGGAGACACTGTCTCTCAAAAAAAAAAAAAAAAAAAAACCTAAAGTAAATAGCAGGATGATGTAAAATACAGTGAAAACAATGTATTTTAGGCAAAAGGAACTTGAAGGTCAAGATAAATGAAGCTACTGTAAGAAATTACCTGGAGTTGGCCACACAGTGGCTCACACCTATAATCCCAACACTTTGGGAGGCCGAGGAGGGCAGATCGCTTGAGTCAAGGAATTTGAGACCAGCCTGAGCAATAGGGAGACCTCATCTCTACAAAAAATAAACAAAATCAGCCAGACATGGTGTTGCACAACTGTAGTCCCAGCTACTTAAGAGGCTGAGGCAGAAGATTGCTTGAGCTCAGGAGTTTGAGACTAACCTGGGCAATATGCTGAAACCCCATCTTTACAAAAAAATTAGCCAGTGCCTGTAGTCCCAGCTACTGGGGTAGGGGCTGAGGTGGGAAGATCGCTTGAGCCCAGGAGGTCCACATTGCTGTTAGGTGTCATTGTGCCATGGCACTCCAGCCTGGGCAGCAGAGTGAGACCCCGTCTCAAAAAAAGAAAAAAAAAAATTTGAGTTGTGTTCAGGCATTCTGCCCTCAATATTTTTTTATGTTGAGAAAATCTTGCATGTGAGATTTCTTAATCATCTTTGAGGCAGGAAGAGTGGAAAGAGGTAAATCTTCCAAATTTTAAAGGGAAAGCAGCAGTACTTGGTGTGCAGCAACTTTAATTGCATCAGTTCTTTGGAAGAGTTAGATTTGTAAAGACTTAGGAAAGGAAGGTTTGAGAAGCTGCATCAACAGTAGCATGTGTGGATTATAGGTTTGGAAGGACTTGGGTTGGAAAATGGTTTTTACCACTTAATGGCTTGCAATAAAGTTACTTGGCCTTTTGAGCATAGTTTCCTCAGTTAATTAGCTCCTCTTGTGACATTAGGGTGAGAATTAAATGAGAATTTAGGCAAAGTAACTAGAACATATCAAATATCTGAAGTAACTGCTGTTATAATTATTACTAAAAGTCGCCGTGGATTCACACACAAAAAATGTCATATAGGTCAGGAGTCTTCATAATGTTTGCTTTTGGAGGTGTCTTAAACATTTGATTTAAATTTTATGTAGTTATTCATTTGAGACAGGTTCTCCCTCTCTCACCCAGGCCAGAGTGCAGTGTGGTGATCTCGACTCGCACTGCAACCTCCGCCTCCCAGGCTCAAGCTATTCTCCCACCTCAGCCCCTGGAGTGGCTGGGACTTCACAGGTGCATGCCACCACACCCAGCTAATTTATTTTTATTTATTTATTTTTGTAGAGATGGAATTTCTCCATGATGCCTAGGCTGATCTTGAATTTATGGGCTGAAGCCATCCGCCCACCTCGGCCTCCCACAGTGCTGGGATTACAGGTGTGGGCCACCACACCTGGCTCAAATTTTAGTATATGTGCTGCCAAAGCGAGCATGCCTGTCTCAAATTTTTAAGTATAATTTTGGGCCAGTCGTAGTGATTCCTGCCTGTAATCTCAGCATGGTGGGAGGATTGCATGAGCCCAGGAGTTGGAGACCAGCCTGGGCAACCTGTCTACAAAAAAAAAAAAAAAAATTAGCTGGGCATGGTAGTGTCCACCTCTAGTCCTGGGTACTCTGGAGGCTACAGTGAGCCACTGCAGTCCAGCCTGGGTGACAGAGTAAAAACCTGTCTTTTAAAAATAAATAGGCTGGGCATGGTGGCTCATGCCTGTAATCCTAGCACGTTGGGAGGCCAAGGCGGGCAGATCACTTGAGGTCAGCGGTTTGAAACCAGCCTGGCCAACATGATGGAACCCTGTCTCTACTAAAAATACAAAAAAAGTAGCCGGGCATGGTGGTGGATACCTGTAATCTCAGCTATTGGGGAGGCTGAGGCAGGAGAATTGCTTGAACCCGGGAGGTAGAGGTTGCAGTGAGCCGAGATCACGCCACTGCACTCCAGCCTGGGAAACAAAGCGAGACTCCGTCTCAAAAAATAAATAAAAGATAAAAATAGATAAATATAATTTTGGAGGTAAAGTTTAGCAGTTTTCTTTAATGTGGAACTTTCAAAGCTTTTCACATTAAAATTCATTTTGAATGTTTATTGGGGTGGTAATACTGATAATATCCAACTGATAATTACCAGTAAATCTTTAGAAAACCTATTTTGACAACACAGGTTGGACAATTCTGTAATGAGATAATTTTTAAAATACGATACTATAAGACAAATGTATACTTTTAAAATACTTTTGATTAGCTGTGTTTAATTTTATGATTCCTGGGAAGATTTTATTTGAACAAAAAGTGTTTACTGCTAAAAAGTTTAACTGTCACTGATTTAAATGAACTAATTTCCTTTTTTAAAAATTTATTAGAGCAAAAGAATTCTGTGAAAATACCGAGGTTTTATTTCAACAAGGATTTTGACAGCTTCACATAGGTCCTTGTAAGATGGAGAAATACAGGCAGAATGATAGCTCAGTGTGAGGGACTTTGCCTGAGCAGCCTTACCCGGAGAGGGCTGACAAATAAATAGATTGTTACCCTGGAAGACTGTTTGCACTGTTGCCTGAAAGGATTCTGTTCTTGGCATATCTTCTAATTAATGATATAGATGAGGACACTGATGGTGTGCTGATTAAATTTGCAGATGTTAAGAAGTTGGGGAAGATAAATAATATGCTGAAATGGCAGGATCAGGATACCAAACGGTCTTAGATTATGGAAAAGGAGGTTTTAGTCATTGGAATTACAATATATAGTCCACTGAATGATGGAACAGTCCAAAAGGGAACTGAAATCTTGGATTGCATTGAAGTATAGAGTAGAATAGGAAGAGGAGGGTCATAATCCTGATTTGCTCCCCATTCCCCATCTTTTTATAATCATATTATGTTTCATCCTGGGTGCTGCTTTAGTATTTACTAAATCCAAGGTGGTATGGAGGAAAGCAGCTAGAGCATGAAGCGAGTACTTGAAATATGAGGAAGTGTTAAAAAGGAGCCCTAGTATTTAGCTTCAGAGAAAAAGTGGGAATAGTCATATAAATTTAAGGAATGCTCTGAAGAGGAGGGGTTAGATTTAGACCATGCTAATCCCAGGAGGTGGAACTAGATAGAACCAGTGAGTGGACACTAGAGGCAGATTCATCTCCTTGTAAAGAACTATTTAATTATTGGAATTTTTTTTTTTTTTTTTTAGAAGGAGTTTTGCTCTGTCACCCAGGCTGGAGTGCAGTGGCGTGATCTCGGCTCACTGCAAACTCCGTTCCCCGGGTTCAAGCTATTCTCCTGCCTCAACCTCCCAAGTACCTGGGATTACAGGCGCCTACAACCACGCCGGGCTAATTTTTTATTTTTTATTTTTTAGTAGAGATGGAGTTTTGCCATGTTGGCCAGGCTGGTCTTGAACTCCTGACCTCAGGTGATCCACTGCCTCGGCCTCTCAAAGTGCTGGGATTACAGGGGTGAGCCACCACACCTGGCAATTACTGGAATTTTCTTAGCATAGGCTGCCTTGGAGATCATGAGAAGTTCTCAGTCATTCTCTTCTAGGGATATTTGTTAACAGGATACAAGCTAAAGGTTGAATTAGATTGTCTAGGGTCCAGTAGCTCTACTACATATAATACTCTCAGCACCACCATATCTCCCACCCCCACGACCATCAGACTTTGATAGGTTTTATGAATGCTTTAAACTTAAAAAATGATTTAAAAATTTTTGATCTAAATGGTAACCTGAACTTTGCCATAAAGTCAGAAATAAAAATAGGGAGGGCTGGATGTGGTGGCTCATGCTTGTAATCCTAGCACTTTGAGAGGCCGAGAAGGGAGGATCACTTGAGGCCAGGAGTTCAAAACCAGCCTGGGAAACAGCAAGACTTGGTCTCTACAAAAAAAAATTTTTAATTTACTGGCTGTTGTGACACACACCTGTAATCTCAACTCCCCAGGAGGCTGAGTTGGGAGAATTGCTTGAGTCCAGGAGTTTGAGGCTATAGTGAGCTATGGTCACACCACTGCACTTCATGCACTCCAACCTGGATGACAGAGCAGACCCTGTCTCCAAAAAAAAAAAAGAGATATTTTGGTATTACATTTTAGTGAGATGAACAAGAAAACAAAGACAATCTTTCTGAATGATACTAGAACCAATACTTTTAAGACTTACATATTTTTCAACAAAGTGACTTAATCATCATATCCAAATAAGAGTTAGTTATGTGTTCAAAATTACAGTGGTATTCTGGGTGGAACAAGTTAATACTTATAAGTAATAATAGCTGTTATTGATATTTATATACCTTGCACAAATGTTCTGAAATGTTCTCAACACTCTTGTTATTCCTGTAACAGGTATTGTTATTCCTGTTTTACAGATGATGAGACTGAAGTTCAGTCAGGGGAAGTAACTTGCTTGAGGATATACAACTAGTAAGAGTCAGGACGTAAATTCAAGAATCTGTGTTTTTAACCTCTCTGCTATATTGAAATTTTATGCTGTCCTCCAGTTCTAGTTATTGATACTCATTTTACATTGAAGAGTTAGTTTAGCTTTGGCATTTAACTATCATGTGTCACATAGCACCAGGGATACATTCTGAGAACTGCATTTTTAGGTGATTTGCATGTATTTCCACAAAACCAGATGGTGTAGTCTCCTGCACACCTAGGCTGTATGGTATAGCCTATTGCTCCTAGACTACAAACATGTATAGCATGTTACTGTACTGAATACTGTAAGCAATTGTAACACAATGGTAGGTATTTATATATCTAAACATAGAAAAAGTACAGTAAAAATATGCTATAATAATCTTGTGAGACCATTGTCATGTATGCAGTTCACCATAATGTCATGCAGCACATGATTGTATTTTGAAGAAATTAGAATGTTTCTTTGTTTTCACCTAGAAATAGAACCTCTCATGCCCTGGGACTTAAATGAAATTCTTAAATGCTGGATTTCTGTCCTATCATCTCATTAGGAACAAATTCATCAAAAATGTATTTCAACCCCAGACAAAGCAAGCCTTTAAGTGGTGGAAATAGTATGTTATTTATATTATTTTGAATAAGCATCTTTAGGAGGCAGGACATTGTTTGGGAAATAAACTTTTTTATTTTTTTTTTGAGATGGAGTCTTGCTCTATCACCCAGGCTGGAGTGCAGTGGCACAATCTTGGCCCACTGTAACCTCCACCTTCCGGGTTCAAGCGATTCTTGTGCCTCAGCCTCCCGAGTAGCTGGGATTACAGGTGACCGCCACCACGCCTGGCTAATTTTTTGTATTTTTAGTGGAGATGGGGTTTCACCATGTTGGCCAGGCTGGTCTTGAACTCCTGACTTCAGGTGATCCACCCACCTTGGCCTCCCAAAGTGCTGGGATTACAGGCGTGAGCCACCAAGCCCGGCCTGAACCAAATTATTATGAGTCATTATGAGTCATCATGAATGGCCCTTGTTATCACAGATCTTTTATTTATTTATTTTATCTTTTCCCTCTTTAGCATTTATGGATGACTATATTTGTTTCTGACTGGTTGCCCTTAATAAGGCAGAATTGCTTCTATATTCATATTTTGCTTTACACTGATTTTATGGTATTTGTGATAAATGGCATATGAGATCATTCTGGCTGTTTTCAGATCATTGAAAGTTAAAATACTTCATATTTCAACGGAAGGGATAGTCTTTCAATTTAATTTTAAAATTTAATTGTTTATATAATGCCAATATAGTCTACATGGCATTTCTGTAGTTCTGTTTGTTGAAAAGTAGGATAGAAAAATATGTACTAAATAAAAAGTATCCTTTTTAGTGTCTTAGGTTTAAAGTAACAAGTTACAGGCCAGGCCTGGTGGCTCACACCTGTAATCCCAGCATTTTGGGAGATTAAGGTGAGAGGATTGCTTGAGGCCAGGAGTTTGAGACCAGCATGGGAAACATAGAAAGGCCCCGTCTCTACAAAAAAAAAAAATTGTTTTTAATTAGCCAGGCATGGTGGCTGTGTGCCTTTCTGTAGTTCCACAAGCTAAGGTGGGAGGATCACTTGAGCTCAGGAGTTGGAGACTGCAGTGAGCTATGACTGCCACTGCACTCCAGCCTGGATGACAGAACAAGACCCTGTCTCAATTGTTGGATGGATGGATGGGTGGACGGACAGATGGAAGATAGGTAGGTAGGTCTGTCTAGATAGATACAGATAGATATACAGGGAAGGAGGAGGAGATTAAGTTTTCTTCTGTTGTGGAGGGCAGTTAATTTTTAATGACAAATGCCATGAAAAACAGTATTGTGATCATAATGCAATATGATCATTTGCAGTGACCATTTTCTATATTATATTTTAATATAATGCCTGCCATTTATGTTATTTATTAAATATTTTATTTATTATTTAATTTATTATTTAAACATTTAATTTTATAGAATATCTTTTAGATCTGTCAAGCAATTTAGGTTATCAGTTCCAACAGAGGAAGAACTAAGGCCCAGAGAAATTACATGATTTTCTTGACATTCTAGAACCAGAACCCAGGATTCCTAGTACAAAGAGTCCATACTAATTCCTTTCTTGAGTGTTTCTAGTGATAGAGTAAGGAAGTAGCCATTGTTAGCAGACAGTTAAAGCTCTTTATGTTGAACCTACACTTAATGTGATTGCTAAAGCTAAGCTGTACCTCTACTACTCCTTTCACATCAAAGCCCTAAAGTAGCTAACATGTTTTCCCATTTTACAAGTTAAATATTCTCAATTTATTCATTTGTTCTTCATATGATATACCGTTTACCATTCTGGTTGTCCATCCTTATGTAGTTTCATAGGATATATCCATTGCTACGTCGTACCCAGAAATGGGGTAATAATATGTTAGTTGCCACCCCACAAGCATGGGATAAGCTAGAATTATACCTACAAGTTCGGAACCTGTATTTTAATTATTAGAGGATAAGATGTAAGAGTTCCTCTTCTAGATACCTTTCTTCCCCTGGTTCTATGACCCATTTTTTTTATCCTAAATAATACAGAAAATGGTCGTGTTTGCATTATGATCATCATACTATTTTTCATGGCATTTGTCATTAAAAAATCACTGTTTTGCCAGAACATGGCAGGCATTTCCATAGTAGCCCAAAAATATTAGATTTTTTCATAGTCATATTTTTAAGAAAGAAAATATATTTTTATTGTAATAAAATATGCTTAGCATAAAATTTACCATCTTAACTTTTTTTTTTTTTTTTGAGACAGAGTCTTGCTCTGTTGCCAGGCTGGAGTGCAGTGGTGCGATCCCTGCTCACTGCAACCTCTGTCTCCCAGGTTCAAGCAATTCTCCTGCATCAGTCTCCCAAGTAGCTGGCACTACAGGCACGCACCACCACGCCCAGCTAATTTTTGTACTTTTACTAGAGACGGGTTTTCACCATGTTGGCCAGGATGGTCTCGATCTTTTGACCTCATGATCCGCCCACCTTGGCCTCCCAAAGTGCTGGGATTACAGGCATGAGCCACTGTGCCCGGCCCATGTTAACCATTTTTAAGTGTATAGTTCAGTATTGTTAAGTACTTGACATTGTTGTAAAGAACTCTTAATCTTGCAAAACTGAAACTAAACCCACTAAACAACAGCTCCTCATCCCCACTCTTCCAGCCTCTGGCAACCACCACTCTACTTTCTGTCTCTCTGAATTCATCTACTCTAGGTCCCTCATGTACATGGAATTAATAGTCATATTTAAAGTTAGCTTTCCTAATAATATAGTATCTTTGGTAATATAAACTCAGCTTCTTACAATAAAATATATAGTTGGAGTATATTTTATAGTTTTGTTAAACTAAAGAAAAACAGAAGGTGGAACTCCTTAAGAGCCTTGTTTTTTCTCTTTCTAATGCTGAGTATGTAACTATATATTCCTCTACATATAAGCCCAAGCCTTTTTTTCCAGAATTCACCTCCATCCATACCATCTCCACATACTATACTAGAAGGTGGACCAGTGTTTGCAGTCTGACCATCCTGTCTTTGAATTTAAATGGTGTCTTAATCTATACAGCCAAGAATATCCCTCTGCTCAGGTTTAAGTATAGGTGGTAATGTATATTTATCTTAAATTTTTTTTTTTTTTTTGAGACGGAGTCTCTCTCTTTCGCCCAGGCTGGAGTGCAGTGGCGTGATGTTGGCTCACTCACTGCGAGCTCTGCCTCCCGGGTTCAAGCCATTCTCCTGCCTCAGCCTCCCGAGTAGCTGGGACTACAGGCGCCCGCCACCACACCCAGCTAATTTTTTAGTATTTTTAGTGGAGACGGGGTTTCACCACGTTGGCCAGGATGGTCTCAATCTCCTGACCTCGTGATCTGCCCGCCTCGGCCTCCCAAAGTGGTGAAATTATAGGCGTGAGCCACTGCGCCTGGCCTATTTCTCTTAATTTTTTAAGTTCACTTGATCAATTTAGGCCTACAGTAACAGTGCATTTTTTAATCTAAGGCTCTTTTGCCAGGTAGGCTGTTTGGGTACTAACATGGAAGCTTACATGTATATCTCTAGAGAAGAAGTATTAAACTTTTAGATTTAGAGTGCAGAGTACAAAAATAGAAATGAAGATTTGTTTGAGATGTTAAAGATACGTTACTTGATAGGGAGTACTTAAAGTCATTTAGAGTCAAATAGATTCTGCAGATATTCTCACTGTTTTGATTTTGTAATAGTCAGGACAGGCTAACCATTCACTTTATTAAGACCATGCATATATCCCCAGAACTAGTTCTTTCCTGAGGTCTAGTTTTATAAATGTTGCTGATAAACCAGGTCTGTAAAATTGGAAAAGGAAAAAAAAAGTTTAGAAACAAAAGAATAGAGTCAAATACATAGATGTACATAAATCTGTGAGGCTTTCATAGTTTTTTAAATAAAGCATCTTTTGACTGGACCAATTAATTTGTTTCCTTCCCCTTCTGTATAAAGCTTAACATTACCATAATTTTTGTGCATTATAATGTAACTGTACTATACCTAAAAATTGCTTTTGCCTTGAAAAGCTTAGTAATAACCTTGTTTATCAAGTATACATATATATGTGTGTAGCAGTAAGAGTAAAATATCATTTACAACTTTAGCTTATAAATAGGGCATCTTTGTATATAATGAATACATAGGTACATGGTGATTTGGCTCATTTTGCTGTTTTATGTATATTTGTTTTGAGAGACGGGAGATTGTTTTGTAGAAAAGAATGGTATTTGAGACCGGGCACGGTGGCTCACGCCTGTAATCCCAGCACTTTGGGAGGCCAAGACGGGCGGATCACGAGATCAGGGGAGACCAGCCTGGCCAACATGGTGAAACCCCGTCTCTACTAAAGATACAAATATTAGCCAGGCGTGGTGGCACACGCCTGTAATCTCAGCTACTCGGGAGGCTGAAGCAGGAGAATCGCTTGAACTTGGGAGGCAGAGGTTGCAGTGAGCCAAGATCTCGCCATTGCACTCTAGCCTGGGCGACAGGGCAAGACTTCATCTCAAAAAAAAAAAAAGAGAGAGAAAAGAATGGTATTTGAATTATCACTGAGATGAGCAGTATGAGAATTGTAGCTTGACATACTTGTGGTTTATGCTATGCTTTCTTATAACAGAATGTTAAGTACTTAGGCTTAAGTGGGGGCCTTTAAAAAATAATTTTTGGCTGGGTGCAGTGGCTCGTGCCTGTAATCCCAGCACTTCGGGAGGCTGAGGCAGGATGACTACCTGAGCTCAGGAGTTTGAGACCAGCCTGGGCAACACCAGGAGACCCTGTCTCTACAAAAAATGAAAAAAAATTAGCCAGCATGCGTCTGTAGTCCCAGCTACTCAGGAGGCTGAGGCAGGCGGATTACTTGGGCCCAGTAGGTCAAGGTTGCAGTGAGCCATGATTGTGTCACTGCTCTCCAGCCTAGGCGACAGAGTGACACCCTGTCTCAAAAAATTAATTAAATAATTTTCTTTTTTTTTCTTTTCTTTTTTTTTTTTGAGATGGAGTTTCACTTTTGTTGCCCAGGCTGGAGTGCAATGGAGGTATCTCGGCTCACCACAACCTCTGACCCCTGGGTTCAAGTGATTCTCCTACCTCAGCTTCCCAAGTAGCAGGGATTACAGGCATGCACCACCACGCTTGGCTAATTTTGTGTTTTTAGTAGAGACAAGGTTTCTCTATGTTGGTTAGGCTGATCTCAAACTCCCAACCTCAGATGATCCACCAGCCTTGGCCTCCCAAAGTGCTGGGATTACAGGTGTGAGCCACCACGTCCAGCAATTAAATAATTTTCAAAGTGCTAGTTCAGTTCTGTTTATGAAAGAGAAATGTGTGTTCTGATGTCTTAGAAAAATCCTACAGTTTTATGATTTTAATTAGAGTCTCTTCTTTCTACAGAAATAGGAAGGTTGTTGATTACTCACAGTTTCAGGAATCTGATGATGCAGGTAAGTTTTGTGGTTTCAACAAATTTTAAGTTGGACTGACCAGTGGAGGTTACCAGCTTATATAGTTTTATTATGCTTTTGGAATAAGTTTTACTTTTTTATTTTTAGATCATTTACCAAAACCATGTCATGATCTGTGTCAACCAAAGCAAAAGTTGAACTTACATGGATTTTAACTTTTCCTTGGTAAATCATTGATAATAAACATTAAAAAGCTTTTTTCTTACCTGGTTTTGGAGTCCAAAGTTTAAATGTCCAGTAATTCTGATACAGTGTTCATTGCTTAAAATATCTCCTGCTGTCAGCCAGTCGCCATGGCTCATGCCTGTAATCCCAGCACTTTGGGAGGCCAAGGTGGGCGGACCACTTGAGGTCAAGAGTTCCAGACCATCCTGGCCAACATGGTGAAACCCCATCTCTGCTAAAAATACAAAAATTAGCCGGGAGTGTTGGCATGCACCTGTAATCCCAGCTACTCTGGAGGCTGAGGCAAGAGAATCGCTTGAACTCGGGAGGCGGAGGTTGCAGTGAGCCGAGATGGCGCCACTGCACTCCAGCCTGGGCAACAGAAAGAGACCCTGTCTCAAAAAAAAAAATCCACTACAGCCAGGCGCAGTGGCTCACGCCTATGAATCCCAGCACTTTGCAGGGGAAAAAAAATCTCCTGCTGTTACTACAATAAAACTTGTGCCTTGTATTATGTTTTTACATAATAAAGCAACTAAGATGAGAGTCTGTTTTGTGAAACAACTTATATTTATGAACTAATTCATCAAGGAATGAGTGTTGTATAGCTAAGTCTTAGCCATAAGAGGTTTTTTCAGAGTTGTCTCCTTAATCTCATTACTTTCCAGGTATGTTTACTATTCTTTTTTCTTTCTTTTTATTCTAACTTTTCTTTATAAAGATAATATGTGCCCTTTGGGAAGACTTAGAAAATACTGAAAGATATGAAGAAGAGAAAAAAAATAATATGTAGCACTAATATTTATTAAATGCTTGCTACATGTCAGGAATTGTTTCAAATGTTTGTATTTAATATTTACTTAGAATAATCTGTTAATGTGTGATATACTATTATTATTTCTATTTTGAGTATCTTGTTAATAAAAGGTATTTGAAAAATTCCTATCAATGGTTATATAATATCCCATAATGGAATTTATAATGTTTCTGACCACTTAATAATTGCTGACGCTCCAGACTACTTCCAGCATCTCGCCATCGTGTGTGTGTGTGTGTGCATGTGTGTGTGTGCAAATGGTGCAGTAAACAGTTTTGGAAATAATTTCCTTTTAAGGTAGAGTCATTTTCCTTAGTTTTATAGGGCTTTTGAAATTGGAGATATTTTCTTCAAGTGCAAGATTATGTTGTATTTAATGCTTTAGTTTAAAAGTAATTTGCTTAGTAATAGTAATTGTGTTTACTTCCTAAAATGTTTGTAATATAACCATATTACAATAATTTTCAAATAAGTGTGAAGATGTTGAAATCAAAAGGGGAGGGTATAAAATGATGAGAGAGGTTTAGCTATAGAAAGATGAAATATATATCATAAGGACTAGAGGGTAATATGCAAAAACGAAGTGAAGGTGATAGGACTGCGTTGGGAAATAATTTAGTTTTTTAAAGATGAAAGAAACTATTTGGGAAATCCTGCTCCTCTCACCATTTAAACAGCATGAGAGATAATTATGTCAGTAAATATAGTGGTGATTTTAACATGTAAAAATCATAGTTAATTAAGTTTGAAAAACACTGTTTAGATGAAGATTATGGAAGAGATTCGGGCCCTCCCACTAAGAAAATTCGATCATCTCCCCGAGAAGCTAAAAATAAGAGGCGATCTGGAAAGAATTCACAGGAAGATAGGTAAGAGGCATTGTTTTTCTGTTCCTGCTTACACTGTTACCACTCTGAGATGAGAGCAGTCTCTGATCTCTAAATTGTTGGAATCTCATATACTTTTGAAAAGTACTTACTGTCCACTTAATATTTTGCATATTTCATATTATCTCAGGCTGTGCTCGAGTATACAATTTGTTATCTAAGGTTAATACTGACACTTTCATTGTAGTGATAACAAAAAATAAGTGATATATCTCATTCAGTCACAAATCACTGGCACAATTAATTACAACTAAAGCTTGTAGAATCTTAAGTTGTATAGCCTGCTGCCTTTTGCTGTCTCATAATCAATTCTCCTTTGTTTAAATAATTTAACCATTTTGGAGAGTTTCTTTTCCCTTAGTTTTACAAATGAGTTGTGATTTTAACTATAATTTTGCCTCATAAGACCAGGATATTAGGAGTACATGGTGGCTCATGCTTGTAATCCCAGGACTTTGGGAGGCCTAGGTAGGAGGATCGCTTGAGCCCGGGAGTTTGAGACCAGCCTGGGCAATATAAGGAGACCACATCTCTACATAAAAATTTAAAAATTGGCCGGGAATGGTGGCACTTGCCTGTAGTCCCAGCTACTCAGGAGTCCGAGGCAGGAGGATCCTTTGAGCCCAGGAGTTCAAGGCTGCAGTGAGCTATGATTGCACCACTGCACTCCAGCCTAGGTGACAGAGCCAGGACTGTCTTGGGAAAAAAAAACAACAACAAGACGAGGATATTGTAATTTCTGCCTTGTTAGTAAAGTTATACACACTCTCACACTTGATGTAACATGAACTTGTTACACTTGGTGTAACAAGACCTTCTTGGTGATAATGGTGATTATAGTGATGGTGATGGCTACTGTTTATTATGTGACAATCTCTATTATGTGTTTTACGTACACTATCATTTAATTCTTACATCATCTCTATTTGGGTAAATATTAACTTCTTAGAGGGGTTCTGTGATTTAACCAAAGTTATCCAGCAAATGGACAAACAGGTTATGAAACCATGTCTGTTGGACTCCAAAGTACATTGTTTAACCATTGGAGCTCTATACCACTTCCAAATAATACTATTACAAATGAGCAGTTCAAATAAATGAAATATTTCTCACTGCTTCTTCTAAGAATCTTGGAGCACCAAAATCATTATTAAATTCATGTATTTACCTAGTAGTTTTATTTATGTTGACAACCTCTAATACTTTTTTTGCTGGAGCATTTCAGAAGTGTGCTTTTAAGGAAAAATAATACAGAATTATACTGTTGGGAAACAAGTCTTCTAGAGCTTCTTGGTATATGTCTAACATAGTTGTTGTTGTTTGTTTTTAATAGAGATGGGCTCTCGCCATGTTGCCCAGGCTAGTTTCAAACTCCTGGGCTCAAGCGATCCTCCCATCTCAGCGTCCCAAAGTGCAGGGATTACAGTGTGAGCCACCATGCCTGGCCTAAAACAGTTTTTTGTTTGTTTGTTTGTTTGTTTTTTGAGGCAGTCTCACTCTTGTCACCCAGGCTGGAGTGCAATGGTATGGTCTCAGCTCACTGCAACCTCTGCCTTCTGGGTTCAAGTGATTCTCTTGCCTCAGCCTCCTGAGTAGCTGGGACTATGGGCACCCACCACCACACCTGGCTAATTTTTGTATTTTTAGTAGAGATGGGGTTTCACAGTGTTGGCTAGGCTGGTCTTGAACTCCTGACCTCGTGATCAGCCCACCTCGGCCTCCCAAAGTGTTGGAATTACAGGCATGAGCCACCGCGCCGGGCCAAACAGTTTTAGATGGCAGCCCAACTCAGAACTATTTTTCATTATATTCATTATCTTATTTCTCCTAGGAAAGACCTGCTTTGTGGCATGTTATAATGTCTCATTGACATAATTAACATCTAGCTTACAGTTTTTCTTGTTGCAGTCATTTGATTTTATTATTCTGAGTGCTGGAAGGATTGAAATAAATACAGGTTTTATTGCTATCTGTATGCCTTGTGTATTTATTCTCAGACCAGTGCTCTGTTGATTTTTCTGTTTTCAAAGTTCAGCCTTCACTTAACTTTGCTGTAGTGGTACTTAAAGATTAATGTAGTCTATAAACTCGATAAAAGAGCTGGAAAAAATAATATAATTCATCATTGTGTTAGAATTATGAATTTGGTGCTTATTTTGCATAAAAAACATTTATACAGAACAGTCACAGGTTTCAGAATTATAAAGTGTCTTGGACTCAGGTTGCTTAGTAAAGGAATATGTTTGGTCATTCTCTTTGCTTAGGAATCATGGGTTCAGTAATTTCTCATTTGAGTGTGGTCTAGATTATGGAGAATACCAAAAGTGATTTATAAGACCTGCTATTTGAGAAAGGAAAGCTTTGAAGGCAGTTTTTATGTGCGAGTTTTTGGTTTTTGTTCTTCAGAATTTTTCATGGAATCGTAAAATTGTAGCATTGAAGAATACCAAGTGATTTGCCTAAGATCATACAACTAACTAATGACAAACAGACTACTAGGTGCTGGATATGGTGGCTCACGCTTGTAATCCCAGCACTTTGGGATGCCAGGACAGGTGGATCACTTGAGCTCAGGAGTTCATCACCAGCCTGGGCAACATGGTGAAACCCCATCTCTATTTTTAAAAATATGGAAATTAACAAAGAGAGATAGGATACTAGAATCCAGATTCTGGAGTTAAGACTTATGAAGACATAATGTGTTTGGTTGTAACTAAAAATTGTTTTTAAAAACTTTCCATTGAACTTTGAAGCTCCTTAACTTCTTATTTTACTTTGTGGAGTGATTTTGAGCTCATTTTATTTTCTTCATGGTACCACCAGGCAGGACTATATGTTGATGTTTCTGATGCAAAGAAATATTGGAAGGAAATATTAATAGGGGATAATTCAATCAATTTATTTTCCATTTTGTTCTAGGTAAATTTTTAGGCATATTATAAGTTAGGTAAGATAACTGAACTACAATTCCTTTTTTTGGGGGGGGTGGGGATGGAGTCTTGCTCTGCCACCCAAGCTGGAGTGCAGCGGTGCAATCCTAGCTCACTGCAACCTCTGCCTCCTGGGTTCAAGTGATTCTCCTCTCTCAGCCTCCCGAGTAGCTGAGATTACAACCATGCACCACCACGCCTGGCTAATATTTGTATTTTTAGTAGAGACAGGGTTTCACCATGTTAGCCAGGCTGGTCTTGAACTCCTGGCCTCCAGCAATCTGCCTACCTCAGCCACCCAAACTGCTGAGATTACAGGCGTGAGCCACCACGCCCGGACTACAGTTCCTTTTAATAATTTTAGATATTTTAGCAGTTTTTCTTGTGTATATTTAGTGATCTTTATTTGCCATCAACACTATGTATTTTTAGTATTTTTATACTCTGCCTCTGTTCGAGAATATTTTTCTTATTAAATATTCTTGTGAACCAAGCTTTATCCATAGGTGAAAAAATTCCAGCCTGTGTTGAGACAGCTTCTTTTTTTCCTTTGAGTCTTTGGAAGCAGTGTTTTGTAACGTAAATAAAATTGTGCTTATTCACCAGCATCCCTGTAAATAAGGAAATAAAGTACTCCTTAGCATTTGTTTGAAGATTTTATATAGAAGAGGTATTTTTCACTTCTTCTCAAGTCAGAAATCAGAGATCTATGTTCACTTAGATTTTGAGCTAAGACTTTTATGCATTTGCTTTTTTGCCTCCCTTTATAGTGAGGACTCAGAAGACAAAGATGTGAAGACCAAGAAGGATGATTCTCACTCAGCAGGTAGTAAACTATTTTAAATGTAAGAGGTATAATTATATTTGTATATTATTTTATTAGATGTTTTAATAAGTGATTTCTATGCCAGGCACTGTTGCAAATCTGGGATTACAAAGACGTTTCCATCTTCAAAGAGCTCCTAATGATTGTCAGTCCTGGTGGCTTATTACAGTCATCTATGAATCTTTTTTAAAATGCATATTCTGGGTCCTGTCCCAAAATTTCTGATTAAATAGATCTAAGTGGGATGTTGGGGCTTGGTTTTCTTTAAGTATCTATACATTATTCTTATGCACAGTCAATATTGGAAATCATTTACGTAAACAAAAGACATCAAACTAAATAGAATAATATATAAATATAAAACTTGGTAAAATAGGGGCATAAAAAGGGGGAGTGGTGGACTCTGGGTGGAAAAGCAAATGAAAGTTTCATTCCCACTCTTTTTAGTGGAGACATAGCCTTTTGTAACAGTAGCCATAGAGAAAGTTTTTTTTGTAAAAATTTTAACTTAAATTAATATGAATTAATGGGGAGTCTCCATGGCCAAATAAAATGTTCAGTCCTGATGATTCTACTTGTTGTTGGTATTTATTTTTAAATTTAATCTTCTAAGAATTGAGATTTTTAATCCATATTACTTCCAGCCACTTTAGTTTTGACCTACATTCCCTTGCTGTTGTCTCCCTGGATCTCCCTTTAAATGAGACTGCTGTTTAGCTAATACAAAGGGGAGAGACAAAGTTCTGCTAAATTCACTCTGCTTAGCTGTTTTGCTTTCCCTCCTATTCAAGTATACTATCTGGCTACCTAAGTTGAAAAGAAACTGTATTAATCTTTTGCACTATCTGGTGATCCTGTGATAATAGAGTATATGCTTTCAGTCATTTGCCTTGTAAATCCTAGTTTGAATCTCTTACACTTGCTAGTTTATTGAGCACTTCTAGATAAATAACTCTGTACTAGTATTAAGCTAAGCTTCTACCAAGTGGGTTTAGTTTTGGGTCGGCCATGTCAGCTTTATTCTGTTTGTCTCTAGATGAGATTTTTAAAAGTGAAAGAGATGACTTGAACACTGACTATGGCAAGGCTCATGGGACTAGAAGTGTTTTCAGAAAAGGGCTGTAGGTAGAGACTAAGGCAAATATGGTTTAGTCTAGAGGCAGTAGGCTGGCAGCCTACCCTTTAACCAAATTTATTCACAAACACAACTGTGTGTTAAAAAAATTTTTTTTAGGCTGAGCATGGTGGCTCCCACCCGCCATCCCAGCACTTTGGGAGGCCAAGGTGGGTGGATCACCTGAGGTCAAGGGTTCAAGACCAGCCTGGCCAACATGGCAAAACCCTGTCTCTATCAAAAATACAAAAATTTGGCTGAGCCCGGTGGCTCATGCCTGTAATCCCAGCACTTTGGGAGGCCAAGGCAGGTGGATCACCTGAGGTCAGGAGTTCGAGACCAGCCTGGCCAACATGGCAAAACTCCTTCTCTACTAAAAATAAAAAAATTAGCCGGGTGTGGTGGTGGGTGCCTGTAATCCCAGCTACTCGGGAGGCCGAGGCAGGAGAATCACTTGAACCTGGGAGGCAGAGGTTGCAGTGAGCTGAGATCCCACTGTTGTACTCCAGCCTAAGCAAGAAGAGCAAAACTCCATCTCAAAAAACAAACAAGCAAACAACAACAAGAAATTAGCCGGGCATGGCTGCATGTGCCTGGAGTCCTAGCTACTCGGGAGGATGAGACAGGAGAATAGCTTGAACCCAGGAGGCACAGGCTGCAATGAGCCAAGATTGCACCACTGCACTCCAATCTGGGCGACAGAGTGAGACTCCAAATTAAAAAAAAAAAAATTTTTTTTTCATTAATAGACTCTAAGAATATGTGAAAGTAAATTTTTTATAGGCTTCTCCAAATGTCTTTCACTAATTAATCTAAATATGTATTTTAAAGATTTTCCAGCTGGGCGCAGTGGCTCACGCCTGTAATTCCAGCACTTTGGGAGGCCAAGGAGGGTGGATCACCTGAGGTCGGGAGTTCGAGACCAGCCTGACCAACATGGTGAAACCCTGTCTCTACTAAAAATACAAAATTAGCCAGGAGTGGTGGTGCGCACCTGTAATCCCAGCTACTCGGGAGGGTGAGGCAGGAGAATCGCTTGAACCTGGGAGGTGAGGTTGCAGTGAGGCGAGATTGCGCTATATTGCACTCCAGCCTGGGCAACAAGAGCAAAACTCCATCTCAAAAAAAAAAAAAAGGTTTTCCACAATCCCCTCTAAATTGAAATGGTCACAAGCCATTCATTGTAAAGGGTAACAGTTTGACATTATTTTAGGGTTTTCGTGTTTTATGTCTTAGAATAAAGATTATTGGAAGACATTCTTTCTCTCTCATACTATGTTAAGATATTTTTCTAACTTTAGCTTTCAAAAACAGTGAACATAGATTTGAATGTAATTGAGAATTGTAGAGCAAAGCAATGATGTAACTTTAAAGTATAGGAGTCATGTATTCACGCTTTAATTCAGCTTGTCTACTGCTTAAAATTACATTCCCTTGTTACTTTATATGTAATAGTGGTTACATAGTCTTGTCCAAGTTCATTCTTTGTGAATTTAGGTCCCCTTTATACATTTTGTAGAATTTTTTTTTTTTTTATGTTGTGGGATACATGTGCAGGATGTGCAGGTTTGTTACATACGTAAATGTGTGCCATGGTGATTTGCTGCACCCATCAACCCATCACCTAGGTATTAAGCCCAGCATGCATTAGCTAATTTTTAATGCTCTCCCTCTCCATCCCCCCACCCTGCCCCCTCCCTCGCCACAGGCCCCAGTGTGTGTTGTTCCCCTCCCTGTGTCCATGTGTTCTCATTGTTCAGCTCCCACTTATAAGCGAGAACATGGCAGTGTTTGGTCTTTTGTGCCTGCATTAGTTTGCTGAGGATAATGGCCTCCAGCTCCATCCATGTCCCTGCAAAGAGCATGATCTCCTTCCCTTTTTATGGCTGCATAGTATTCCATGGTGTGTATGTACCACATTTTCTTTATCCAGTCTATCATTGATGGGCATTTGAGTTGATTCCATCATTTTGCAGAAATGTTGAAGGATAGAATTTGCCCTTTTACAATGAAATAAAGCTGCAGATTATATCCTATATTGGCCACTGTGTTGGCCTTTTCAGTCAGTTATGTTTTCAGTCAATTATTAATCTTTTGCACTATCTTGTCAAATATAAAATTCTTTAATCATTATATCATGGTAATTCTGATATTGCAGAGGATAGTGAAGATGAAAAAGAAGATCATAAAAATGTGCGCCAACAACGGCAGGCGGCATCTAAAGCAGCTTCTAAACAGAGAGAGATGCTCATGGAAGATGTGGGCAGTGAGGAAGAACAAGAAGAGGAGGATGAGGCACCATTCCAGGAGAGTATGTGAAGTTGTTTTGTGTACTTTGGTTGTTTGGTCATAATTGTAGTTTGTGACCTTGGTTACTTTGGCATTTTCTAGGATGCTAAATGTTACAACCAGTCCCTTAAATTGGGTAGATACTCCGTGTTAAAAGAGATGACTGTATTGGTTCCTGTTAATATTTTTAAAGGTTCAGAGATTCTCACGATTGCCCACCATTTGTAATGGTTGCACCCTTTATTTAATGATGTCTGTGTTCAAACACTGAATGAACAATTTGCTTAAGTAACAGTCACATTAGGCATTGTGATTGAGATTTGTATTTTGCCCTGGTGGAGGAGGTTGTAGACCTCTTTTCACAGAAAAAAACATGTTAATAATAAAATTTAGGTGTTTCACAGGTTATTCAGATTAGTTAATCCTATGTATTTTTGTTTTGTGTTTGGTTTTCTTGTTTCACTTATTCATAATTGGACCAAAAAGGCCCTGTCAGTTCAGTTTTGTTTCCCTGGTCTCAACCAGTACTACTTGGAAGTGATGGAACTACCAAAAGTTATTTGATAGTTTCAGTTTTTATTCAGATTAACTCTTACCCTTCCTGTTTTCAATCTACTTTTCAAACACATCACTCATGTAACTCTCTCATGTAAGGTGCATGCAAAATCCATTTGACAAATGAGGCCAGTGATGACTCCAGTCAAATTGGTAGTACAGCTCCAAATAGAATCCAAGGGTGTTTGACTCCCAAATCCCATCCTCTAGTCATTCTTAGCACTCTCTTCCTTTTTTACTTGGAAGGATGTGTACATTAAGTTAGATGTTGAAATTCTTCTTTCTTCTCAGAAGATTCCGGCAGCGATGAAGATTTCCTAATGGAAGATGATGACGATAGTGACTATGGCAGTTCGAAAAAGAAAAACAAAAAGATGGTTAAGAAGTCCAAACCTGAAAGAAAAGAAAAGAAAATGCCCAAACCCAGACTAAAGGCTACAGGTAATTTCTGCAGAAGTGAAATTAAATTTACTGCTTTAAAAATTTTGAGAATCATTATTTTCAATACAGAAATTCCTCATTAGGATTTGGCATTGGCCTGATGTTTAGCAGGAATACAAGAAATCTAAAAGGGTCTTGTATTCTGCAACTGGAAGTATCTCTTATTAATAAAGACACTAGCCTGTTTAAGAGTCTAGTGGGCTTAGCCATGTTCTTCAACTACTGCCAGTACTTGAGCAAGATTTCAGAATGATCTATTTGTTTCAGACACAGTGGTAGAAACACTGTGTCATCATAGTTGTTACTGCTCTTTTTTCCTCACTGGTATCACAGTCTCAGCAGCCAGCAAAGACTTAATTGTGAAAATGCACAAACCTAGAGTAATACGTTTAAGTTCCACGTTCTGAACTCTACCCCATCCTCTGTGCTATCAGAATAAAACCACACTTGATGACATGAGTTGATTTTTTTCTGAGCCCTAATGGTTTCTCCTCGTTGGAGCTAGTTTGTTAACTAAATCAGAAATCAATTTGCTTTTTGTGTAGGTGGTTTTATTCTGTTAGGTAGAACTAGTCATTGTTAAACTTCTGTTTATCACTTCCTACTGTTAGGAATGATGGAACTATCAAATGTTATTTGATGGCTTTAGTTTCTGATCAGATTAATTCTTTTCCTTCCGTCTTTTTGACCTGCTTTTTATAAACAACTTTTATCATAAACAACTGTTAGTTTACCAAGCAATTAAGGATGTTGTGCATATTCTATAGCATGGTGCTTCTTCTTTACAGGTATTACTGCTAACATCATAGAGTGTTGGTAAAAACTGATGGGAAATACTGTAGCATAGTGTAGTAACTTATGACCAGTTTAGAAACTGAGATAGATTTACCTAGGGATATATGTGCTCCCTTGTGCCCACCTTGGTTTTTAGTAAGTTGCATATTGTCTTTATAGATTTTATTCTTACAGATTGTTGTATTTTGTAGCTGACTTTTATTAAAGACATTTTTTTCTCTTCCCTTCCCCAAATTATTTTTCTATTTTCAGTGACGCCAAGTCCAGTGAAAGGCAAAGGGAAAGTGGGTCGCCCCACAGCTTCAAAGGCATCAAAGGAAAAGACTCCTTCTCCCAAAGAAGAAGATGAGGAACCGGAAAGCCCGCCAGAAAAGAAAACATCTACAAGCCCCCCACCCGAGAAATCTGGGGATGAAGGGTCTGAAGATGAAGCCCCTTCTGGGGAGGATTAAAAGTGATGATGGTCTGGGGAGAGATTTTATTAAAAAAAAAAAGAAAAAAAAAGAAAAAAGAGGGAGGAAAAAAAAGAACCTACTTAAGATAGAACATGGTTTTGGCTATGGCTTGACTCATGGGCTTTCAGTGCTTTTTTCCATTTGTTGAAAGTAACATTTCTCTCTCTCTCTCTTTTTTTTTTTTTTTTTTTAAAGCAAACCATTGTATGTGTAAGTGTTTAAGTTACCTTTTTGTCTATTGGTCTCTTTGCCAGCCCTCCCCTTTCCCAATGAAAGCCATGTCAAATTAATCACTGGATTGACTGCTTCATCTTTTTATTTTTAATGAAAGGTGTACCACGGTTGTAAAGCAATAAGATTTGAGATGAACACTATTGAAACTTCGCTTTTTGCTAAAAAATAGCAAGTTGAATAGTAATCAAAAAACATAGAAAGATTTTAGTTCAAAATGATTGCTCCTTTCTCTACCTGGACTTTTAAAAAATCAATTGTCATCTAATATGAGTTTATTTGTCTATAGACACAAGTATCAATGTCTAAAAAAAATCATGACTTTAAACTTCCACCGATGAGGCAGGTAGGAGATAAAGATGAATTCTGAACTGTTACTAAAAGTACTCATTTTTTACCTTGTAGGGAGGGTGGGCAATGGGGTTACCTGACCTTATTTGAGGGTATGGGCTTTCTTTTTTATTTCATCACTTGTTATCTCAAAGAGACTCGGAGCCAGTGATCCTTTTATCCTGCTACAGTCTTTAGGGAGCTAAAAAAAAAAAAAAAGCAGGGGCTGCCAAAACTCTTGATTTCATATTTCCTTCTCTAAATATATATGTATCCTGTTTTTTGGATAAAATTTTACCAAGAATCCAAAAAAAAAAAAACCCTAGAATTTAATCAACAAGATCAGTCTACAGGTCACAGTGGATTTCTTTTCAAACTGACAATGTTTAGGTTTTAAGCAAATAAAGTTCCAGTTAATGTGAAACTCAGTCACAAAGAGTTGAGATTTTTCCTTTATGAAATAGAATTGACATTCTTTTATGCTATAAATGTGCATTCAGGTCCCATTAACCATGCTCTGCTTTTATTTGGGGATAGAACATTTTCTTTTTCATATCCCGATCTTCCCATTTCTTCATAGAAATGTGATAAGAAGTACATCCCTGTGATCCTGCTGCTTCGTAGAGCACCACTGCACACCCTACCCCGAGTGCCAACCACCTCTGCTATAGGACACTATTTTCCTGGCCCTATTCTTCACTTACTTCCCATCCTGTCCTTGACTAGGAATATGTTAAATGCTGCTCCCATACAATTCAGTTAGCTCTTGTCTTTTTATTTGGTCCAACCCCTGCTTTACTGCTCATGCTGCTTAAAGCAGGAGGGACTAGAGAAACAAGGCATTTTAGGAGGCCTGTGTGCAGTTGAAAACCGACTTTTACACGCCTTATAAAAGCAGTCAGGAGATAGATCCGTAGGTTTGATCCTTCACATCTAATACCAGGCGCTAATGGGAACAAGGTTTAAAGGGTCCTGGTATGCTAATAAATTGAAAAATTAGTGAAATTTAAACTTCTGCCTTTTTTTCCTGCCTTTTAATCTAGATTTGCTTCCTCAATATCCTACTTTGTGGTTTACTAGGAACATGCTTACTCTGATCTTTTTTTAAAAAACACACAGTGGCAGAGTCATTTCACTATTGCACTGTGTGTTAAAGAATGAATAAGGAGTTTTCAGTTACATGGCCAAAAATACAGGACTTGAACATAAATAGCAGTTGGATCATTCTCTTTCATGACGGTTAAATTCAGAGGTGTGAACTTTGTAATGAGGGTGTTAAAGATTAATCTATTTGCCTAAATGGGTTTGTTCAGGTATCCATTTTTAACAAAGAAGTTTGTGTTCATATAGTAAAAGACCTATCAGTGTTTCCACCATGCACTTCTATTTTTTAGGAGTTTATAATTTTAAGTCTTACATTCCTAGTAACATTTGGGCTTTTCTTAGGTTATGTTTCGTGAAGATTTGGGGGGAGGGCTCTTTTAAAACTTCAGCCTCAGTTGTTTAACAGTCTCTTTAATATATTAATCTGCACTAACATCTCTGTGATATATGCACATATTTTAGAGGTAATCATGTCTTCTAGATTACTTGTGTGCATTTGATTGGGCTTCTTGTTTAGGGTCCCTTTTAAAATTAATTCATTAGATTGAAAAATGTATTCTATATTTCTGATAGACTGGACAGAAGGATCTGTGTCCCCAAGTGAGACAGGCTCTGAATAACCTTTGTTTTCTCCACTTTTTATTGATGATTTAAAACACTCTAGTCTTCCCCTCAAATCATGCATGCAAATAGGAGGACAGTGGTGGTGACTCAACTGGATACAGGTGCTCAATAGTCAGGCTTGATAGTGATGTCAGGACGCATTACAAGCTGTAAGCCGATACTGACTGGCCATTGGCACCATCCTTGACTAACCTTCCTCTTTTTCTCTAGTGTGCCTATGGTGAAATGGCAATAGCATTCACTGTCGTATTTTGCAGTGCTCAGGAAGTGGGACGTTAACTTTGAAGGTGCTTGTTTGTATTAGCTCTGCTAGGTTTACCTCTACAACGTAGATTTCAGCAGCTATGCTGACTGACACTACATTCTAGTTCTTAAGATTTTTTTTCCAGATCCCCCCTTCCCCAGCTAGACATACGTAGCATACTTTCATCTTATTCAGTCTTTCTGTAACCTGCTGCTGCTTTTAGTCCTCCTCACCTCAGATCGGAATCAATGGAGTGGGCCCAGAGGATACATTTTAATTCCAGTAATGGTAGGTAGATTTGTCCTGCTTTCTAAAACATCTCCTCATTTCATATTTCCACTCCATATTGATTCCATAAGGGAAAATTAATGGGTGTTTCCTCCTTTAGGGAGGTAATGCAAAGAGTGTGGACATCTTCTAATCTTGAGGAACAGTAGTTGATTTCCCTTGAAGGAGCTTACATATTGACTGTTTTCACAATAACCTGTTTGCCCCAGTTCAATCCTCATTTTAATACTTAATTTGGTACTGGCTCAAATAGCATTTTCTTACAGATAACAAATCAAGAGTGAAATTTGAGGTTATACTCCAGTAAAGTTTTTAACACTTGTGAATATGGTCAGCTAGACTAAACTTGACTCTTTTTTTTAATGGCTTTTTTATCTGTGAACATTCAGATAAGTGGATTTTCAAGTACTGGTTGGGGATGGGAATCGTGCTTTTCTTTAAACTTCAGTTTACGAGATGCTTTGAGAGCGTTAGGCAAAAGCAGAAATAAATATCAGGAGCAACGGGGAAAGCTTTATAAAAGATCATGGTGGCCACTGTTGCAGCTTTGAAGAATGAGTGCTGGCTTGAACAGTTCTTTGCCTGCATCATTGGTAGCTGCACTGAAAGGAAAAAACTTTCACCTTAAGAATTTGAAAAGGAAGAAACCTGGGCTCTGGTCTTCATGGCATTTAGACTGAGATGCTTAAACAGAACAGAAGTAATACGCATTTCCTGCCATAGGATAGGGAAAATGTAACAAGCTGGTTGCTCTTGAGGTTAGAAAATTGTCTGTTTCTCTGTGGATGAAGCTGGATTTACTTGAAAATGGAGAGTTGGCTTATTGTTTGAATATTGGGACATCAAGCTATCTATAGCCAAGTTTCAGTCGCAACCAGTTTTCCCTTTGTCTGGGGTAAATTCGATACAAAATGATTCTTTTTGAATCCTGAATCCATAAATTACACTTTTTTTTTTCAAATTCACAAAATTCACAGTGGTGCTGACTGTGTAATAACCACTATTGGGAAACATCCCGTAAACCTGCCTGTTGCCATGCCAATGGAGTGACTGAACTGGTGACATCTGTTTGAGCATGCTTTGTGTGGCTGGTAGAATGCCACCGTTGTGCATACACTTTGTACATCAGGGGTGAAGGGAGGGTTTTCTAGATTATTGGGGGAGGGTAAAATTGGGATTTTTTTGTTGTTCCTTTTTTGATGGGGTGTGGGGGTATAGTACTCAGCTTATGCCCTAAAATAACATGTATAAAAACCCCTGAAGTATTGTGTGGGTGTGTACGTGTGAGTGTGTGTTTGTATACATCTGGCAATTAAAGCTTTGTCTTCTGGAACTTAGTGAATTCTTTTCTCTTTTTCCTCCAGAAGTATTTGTTACAAGATTTGTAAATAAGAGCTCTACTTAGTTTGTTTACCATGAACATGTTGCAGCAAACCTTATGCATCTAATTCCTACAAGGTTAAAGAAAGGCTTTTAGACTTGCCAGGTTAAGCAACAGCCAAGTTCTCAGTAATTGTTTGCCTTGATTTATCTTTTAGACTTCATTTTGCCAGCTCTAAAACTCCCAGTCTTCCTTGATTTTAGTCCTTAATCTTTTATGTTCTGAGCAGGAAGGGTAAAAGACAGGAACCTGCTTCACTGTATTAACTAGTCCATGGGCTGAGACCGGGGCATCTCTTTTCTTCATACTGCAATGTTGCTAGATACATGATCAGACACCAGAGGGTTGGGCATTCTTGCAATACCTTAACAGTGCTGAAATCTGCAGCATGGTACTAAGGAAGTTAAAGTTTGAATGTAACCACTTTATTTAAAAGGTTTTTTTCTTTAATTTAAATGAAATGGGGTTGAAGTGAACATGATTTTGTTGACCATGTTCGTGAATTACAGATGCAACATGCATTGGTAGAATCGTGTGATGGTCTTTTGTGATACTTAATTTTTACATATCCCAGTCTCTGTATGTATCTGCATAGACAAAGAAAAAACAAACTCCTGCTTTGCTTTTATTGAAGGGTTTCCAGGACTGCGTGTCTGCTCCTGAGCTCTGTTTTAAGTATGTGTATCCTTTGCTTGTATTTTGTATTAAAAAAATAAGAAAAAGAAGCCTTTATTGTTGAGCATGTTGGCATTGTCCCCTTTATTTTTTTCTCTTTTTGGGACATATGAAGCAAGTTATTCTTTTTCTGTATCTTTTTTTCTTTTGTAAACTTTTTTTTTGTTTTGTTTAAAAATGGCTTTATAAAAGGGCTTTTATAACCCAGATGTGTGCTCTGTGTACTTCTTGTAATACCTTAAAGCAAACACACTAACTTACACAGCTTTGTTAATCAGCTCCCAGTTCAGCCTGACTTTGTGGGAACTTATTTCCCTAATAAATTATTTAGAAACTTTAACAGTGACCATCCCTGTTGTTGGTAAAAGATAAACATGTCTTGGTTCAAAAGTTAATACCTCAGGATGGAATCAAGAAGCAGTAGACTTACCAGTTTGATTAATTAAGGGAGCACTGGACTGGGTGCGTAAGGATTCTTAATTAGCATTTTTTCTCATGTTTACATCCAAGGTTATGAAGTGTTGTGGAAAGCAAAGTTTAACAATCATATATAATAAAAGATAATGTTTATACTCACAGAACACACTTGCATTCAATTCCAAATACCCATAAGAACTACGCTGAATTTTGAATTAAAGATTACTTGTTAGGTGGACAATGTGGTACAAGATCCCTCTTTAGAACTGGGCTGATATTGTAGCTATTAGGGCTTTTTTCTTTTTAACTTTTCCTCTTGTTTACATACTTGCCTTGTCAGCCAAATACTATAATTGAAATGCAAATTTGGCTTTGAAATTAAATGCTTTGTGCATCCTGTTATCCGTCAGTGACTAGCTAACTTTTTAAATTTCTTTCTTTCTTTTTTTTTTTTTTTTTTTTGAGATGGAGTCTTGCTCTTGTCGCCCAGGCTGGAGTGCAATGACATGATCTCAGCTCACTGCAAACTCCACCTCCCGGGTTCAAGTGATTCTCCTGCCTCAGCCTCCCAAGTAGCTGGGATTACAGGCATACACCACCACACCTGGCTAATTTTTGTATTTTTAGTACAGACGGGGTTTCACTATGTTGGCCAGGCTGGTCTTGAACTCCTGATCTCAAGTGATCTGCCCACCTCGGCCTCCCAAAGTTCTAGGATTATAGGCGTGAGCCACCCCTCCCGGCCATTTTATTCTTTTTCGGAGATATGAGAGTCTTGCTATGTTGCCTGGGCTGGTCTCAAATTCCTGGACTCAAGGGATCCTCCTGCTTCAGCTCCCCCAGTAGCTCAGATTACAGGTGCAGGCACACTGCCCACATACATTTATTTCTTAATATAATGAGTTGTCTCAGGTTAAAGTTGAATTTGGATGAGCATTAACCATCTACTTTTCCTCATAATCCTTAAGTATTTTATGGATAACATAGACAATTTTATGTTTCAGGACAGTGCTGAAGAAATGCAGTCTGATTTAAAGGATTTCAAAAACCAACAAGTGGATAAACAGATGAAGAGAGGTTAAAACACACTTGGAGCTACCTAGACTCCTATCCATGAACATCGGTATACAGTACTACACTGTAGTTGTGCAACACATATTACCTCATTTAATTTTTCCAACAACTGTGAGATCGGCAAGTGTTTGTTCTTCCAATATTGTAAAGAATAACCTGGTTCAGGTAAGATGAGGTTTTATGTGGTACCTGATGTAGCTAGTATGTAGTACAACAAGGGTTTGAATCAGTGCTGTGTGCTTTAAGTTATCACAGTTGTTCGTTCTAAAGCCAGCTCCCTTTGGTATACATGGGTCCCTTAAGCCTTCTTCCTGGTATTGAGCTTTTGAGCATTTTGCTGTTCTCTCACATCTCCCAGTAACAGTGATACTTGAACCAGTCCAATGAGTTACATCAAAGATTTAATGGGGAAAGTCGGAAACTTCAATGAGTAAGGAGATTTCTCATTGAATACTTCGGTTTGCTTGAAAATCCTGGTGACCCCTAGACACAAAGCCTCAAATTATTTAAAAGCTTTTATTTTCTGATTATGTCTCATGATAGTGACTGTTGAGGAAAATGTTCGTCATGTTGACTGTATAGCAGTTACAGTCTGCCAGTAGAGGGCAGTGTTTGTCCTCCATAGGTAGTGGAATGCTTGCTCTCCCCATCTCATTTTTAGATACTATCAGACTAGGCTCAGGACATTTTTAGATACTGTCGGCTAGGCTCAGTTGATATTCTGCAAGTGTATCAACACCTTGCCACTTACTTGGGTTATCGAAGCCCTGTGATCAGTGTACCCAGTTAACATCCTAATGTATGTAGCAGCAATCTTTTCTGAATTTTAAATAGGAAATAGAATTTCTTGATTCATGCACATCTGTCTTCTTGTGTTGTTCCCTCTTTATATCTCCTAAGCCTATGTGGATAACATCCCGAAATAGAAGTGCAGACTGAAATTTCAAAATGCAGCTGTGAACTCTTTGCCCTATTTTGAAACAGGTGTTGTCTTTGAAATTGCCTTCCAGCTCAAAAGCCTTGTTTCTTGTACAATCAGCACTGATATGTGTTCACACACAACAAATACTTAGATTTGTTTTCAAGGTAATATGGTAGTTTGTGTTCCTTTATCTTGATGACTTGCTTCTCTTTTCCTCCATTATCTTACTAGAATAGATAGGTACTCATTTTGACATGCTTTGGCTGGGTCACCACCAAGAGAAATCAGTATTATTCATGGGTGTGCCCCCTGGTTCAATAGTAAACCCTGCACAAATATTGTGAAATAAATGCTGTGTTAATTCTGGGGTCAGGGAGTGAGAGGGTACAGCCAGAGTTCCCATCCTAATAAAGCAAATAATTACTTTAAACTATGATAACAAAATGTTGGAAATAATTGTTTGCCTTGATTTAGCAGTAAGCTGGCACCCAGAAGGGATTTGTTTAAAAATCTAACTTTAAGGAACAGGTTGATCAAGGAAGAGTACACATATATATTATTATTGGTAATGTTTTAGCTATTAAGTTGAATACACAAACCCTTTTATTAGAATGTG
Source organism: Homo sapiens (assembly GCF_000001405.40). Lineage (NCBI taxonomy): Eukaryota > Metazoa > Chordata > Mammalia > Primates > Hominidae > Homo > Homo sapiens. The sequence continues at coordinate 205,710,370 of NC_000001.11, read as the reverse complement.
TAAGACCACCTCCTTGGCTGATGTACAAAGCAATGTGTGTAATAGTTATACTTTTTCCATCTTGGGAAGAAACACAAATACACAGTCTATATGTAGTCAGGGCTCTCCTGATTATAAGAGATTAGGGTAGATGGGTAAAGTAAGGCTCTGAAGGAGATAGAAAGTCATTGATCCAAGAAAAATGATAGCCTAAATTTTAGGATATGATAACTACCAATTTGGTAACCCTAGCTGATTGGTTATCTGGTAAGAAGTGTCTCATCCATAAAGAACTGAACGTGTGTAGTAATATAATTAACAAAAAATAAGGTGCAGTGGCTCACACCTGTAATCTCAACATTTTCAGAAGCTGAGGCAGGAGGATTGCTTGAGGCCAGGAGTTCATACCAGCCTGGAAAACAGTGAGATCCTGTCTCTACAAAAACAAAATAAACAAGTTAGCTGTGTATAGTGGCATGCACCTATAATCCCAGCTACTGGGGAGGCTTAGGAGGAAGAATCACCTGAGCCCAGGAGTTCAAGGCTGCAGTGAGCTATGATCGCACCACTGCACTCCAGCCTGGGTGACAGAATGAGACCCTGTCTCTTAAAAGATAAAAAGAAATAACGAAAAATAGATTGTGAAACACTGGTGTTTACCAAGAAGTGTGTAGACAGTGACCCACACTGGATCCTCATTTTGTGGCTATAAATTGGGTCTCTTGTGGTTCACTAATTCAGCCTAGAGGAATACAAATACTAAACACTTTAAAAATATCGTTTTACTTCTAAGGTAATCAGGAATAATGATATAGCTAAGCTCTTTTATAAGGCACTAAATGTCTTTAGGAATCAAAGACTCAATGGACGTTCTGTTTAGACCTTGGAACATAATCTGGGGCTTCAGTAACCTGACTTCAAATCTAATGCATGCCACATCTCAGTTACAAACCCCAAGCTCCCCCTGTTTTGTCTTTTCCTCCTGCTTCTGACCTAATTAACCCCATCTTTCTTTTCCTTCGTGTGTGTATGTGTGCGTGTGTGTGTGTGTGTGTGTGTGTGTGGATGAACAGTTAGTTTCCATGGGGTTAGCGTTTTTGAGGCAAAAATATTGTTTATACATCAACTAGATAGTCCTAGAGGTGGATGGGGAACCAGCTGTTCGGTAGAGAGCCACACAGTTGGCCTGAGTACAAGATAAATAGCATTCCTAAGCTCTGTTGTAGGGAATGCTGGTGTGACTTGAAGTACACAGGATATACACAGTATCTAGTTCAAAAGAGTGGTTTTTGTGCTAAACCTTATAAAATCACCAGTCCTGGGCCATTGGCAAAGCAAGTCAGTCCTTTTCTCACCTTGCTTTCCTTTCTCTTGCCATGCACTTAAGGGAAGCAATAAGACCTCTAATATTTAGCTCTTGGGCTACTCTTCTCTAGAAGTCAACACCATTGCACAGTCACTGTGCAATGAGAGAAGCAGATGGCTCTCTCTCTGGGAGAGCTAAGTCTAAGTAAGGACACACTAATAATACCAGACAGTGGAAACAGGAGTTCTTAGAGCACGTGTTGCTTCCACAGGTCACCTCTGAATTAGCCAGCAATATTTATTGACAATGAAAATTGTGGTGACTATATTCCACCAAAAATTGGGATCTGTGCTACAATGAAGAGTTCTTTCATATTCCTCAACAGGAAAAACAGTTTAAGGTATAGTTTGGTTCTCATGATATTGGCATGTCTGGATACTTCTATGGTTTAAGGGACTGAAGCAGACAATGTTGAAAACTGGAGTATTCCAGGTAATGTATGTGAATAGTATAAAAAGTGCAACAGGTGTTCCACAGCAGAGTTCAGAACAGCACATCGTGCTAACTATAGCATGAGTAGTCATTTGTTTTATTTGAACCCCCAATCACTTTTCCTTGTCTGGCGACCTGCTTTGGAGAAGCTATGTGGCTGGTTGCAGATGAAGTCAGATCAATCGACAGGGTGATCTTGGGCAAGTCAGCTTATCCGCCTACCTCCCACTCTATGCTCGTTTCTTCTTTTTATATAATGAGGATTATAAGGGACTGATTCTCCTCTGCTTCAAAGGGACATTATGGGGCCGGGCACTGTGGCTCATGCCTGTAATCCCAGCACTTTGGGAGACAAAGGCAGGCGGATCGCCTGAGATCAGGAGTTCGAGACCAGCCTGGCCAACATGGTGAAACCTGTCTCTACTAAAAATACAAAAATTAGCTAGGTGTGGTGGCAGGCGCCTGTAATCCCAACTACTCGGGAGGCTGAGGCATGAGAATTGCTTGAACCCGGGAGATGGAAGTTGCAGTGAGCCAAGATTGCGCCATTGCACTCCAGCCTGGGTGACAAAGTGAGAGTCCATCTAAAAAAAAAAAACAAACCAAAAGGACATTATGAGAATAAGTGAGGCCATGGGTACTTAATGCCTAGAACACAGGCTGTCTATGCACATATGTTGCTATTGGCACTGTAGACCAACTAGCCTCAAACAAAAGCAGCGATGTACCTCCAGGCAAGGTTTATGGGGGCTGAAAACCTCATTCCTGCAGAACTGAAATCCTTTTAGCTTTGTCTCTGAAGTATAAATGAGTTATTTATTAGTAAGAACACTTACTCTTGCAGAAAGGTAAACTTTAACCAGCTCACAGTATAGGATGGTTTTAGAGGGGAGGGAAGAGTGACAGTAACTTCCAAGTCACCTGCACTAGTAAAAGTTTTGTTTTGTTTTGTTTTGTTTTTTCCCAGTGTACGTACACAGAATTATTGATTGGATCTTGAATGCTTCTTTAGCTTCTCCTAGGAAAAAAATAATTTTATCCAATGGTTTCAAACTGTATTTCTAGTTATGGGATATATATTACAAGTGAGAGAACATTCATTTTGGACTGGAAACCTATTACAAATACTTGTCAATAGCATATTTTCAGTCTATGAAATCATCCTATTTTTGTGTCCTTGATCTTTCAAGTTCAATACCAGAAAGGAAGCCACAAAACTTACTGGAGCCATGATTGGGGACAGAATCCTGGGGCTCAGCTGGGCTGTTTTACTGATGAAATGTGACATCCTGTGTTCTCACAATACTGAAGTCTCACTAGAATGCTTTTTGTGGGTGGCCCCTATCATGAGACCCTTACATAGACTGATAACATTTTGGCAATTGAACCCCAGGGACAAGCTATAAGATAGACACCGCCCTCATCCCCCGCAAATTCTCTTCAATCTTTGGGGAAGAAAGACCCAATTTCAACATAGTGAAGAGGCCGTTTTTAAAAGTTTGATTTATGTAAGTTGAGTAACAGACTGTATAAATACTGAAATTTTGGTCAGGAGCCTGTTATCTTGTAATACCCTCTTCCTCTAGATTGCTAAGATCATCATTTGTGCTTCTTGGATTGATAAGATAACTCTCAGAAGTCTGAAGTTCCTCTTGTCATGTTATCTTGCTGAAGGAGATAGAACTAGTCATTTGGCTTTGGTAAAATTTTCACTTGTCTCAACCCAATTTCTATCACTGAGTTCTGTTAATGTGCATGACGCATGCTTCTCCCTCATTAGGCCTTTTGGACAAGTGTCAGCATTTAAGGTCGTGAGAACTGGATTTTGTTCCCTCTGAAGAGTATGATATTAAGAAAACTTAGCTGAAAACTAGGATAGCATTCTTTCCCCAGGCTTCGCTTTCACAACATTCTTGTGGAGTCAGAATGCTAACTTAGTTGGAGATAAACATAGGCAAGGCCAATTCTCAGTCTGAAGGTGTTCAATGGTGAAGGAGTAGAGTGAGAAATAAGCACCTCTGCTTCTGGAGCCCCCTGTGTCTACCTACTTGACAAGCCAAGTTAGTTCTTGTTATGTCAGTCAGACTTGCACAGGAAGTTTCTTTGTTTTGGGTTTTTTGCTCTTGATTTTTCCTGTTTTACCATAATTTTTTTTTTTTTTTTTTTTTTTGAGACAGAGTCTCACTCTCTCTCCCAGGAATGGAGTGCAGTGGTGCGATCTCGACTCACTGCAAGCTCCGCTTCCCGGGTTCACGCCATTCTCCTGCCTCAGCCTCTCGACTAGCTGGGACTACAGGCGCCCGCCACCACGCCCGGCTAATTTTTTGTATTTTTAGTAGATACGGGGTTTCACCGTGTTAGACAGGATGGTCTCAGTCTCCTGACCTCGTGATCCACCCGCCTCGGCCTCCCAAAGTGCTGGGATTACTGGCGTGAGGAACCACGCCCGGCCTTACCATAAGATTCTTAATTGAGAAACACGTATTCATTTTCTAATCAATGTGACTGAAGAGAGGAGAGAGGCTAATAAGTAAATGCAACTGTTATACATATTGAGAAGCAAGGTATTAAGAATTCTACAATTTGAGGCTGGGGCGGTGGCTCACGCCTGTAATCCCAACACTTTGGGAGGCCGAGGTGGGCGGATCATGAGGTCAGGAGATCGAGACCATCCTGGCTAACACGGTGAAACCCCGTCTCTACTAAAAATACAAAAAAAATTAGCCGGGCGTGGTGGCGGGCGCCTGTAGTCCCAGCTACTCGCGAGGCTGAGGCGGGAGAATGGCGTGAACCCGGGAGGCGGAGCTTGCAGTGAGCCGAGATCGCACCACTGCGCTCCAGCCTGGGCGACAGCCAGACTACGTCTCAAAAATAAAAATAAAAAAGAATTATGCAATTTGATATTCTTTGATTGCCCATAGAAAAGTGCTTTAAATCAGTGGTTCTCGAAATGTGGTCCCTGGATGGACCAGCAGTCTCAGCATCAGCTGGTAGCTTGTTCAAAATGCAAACTCGGGTCCCACCCCCAATCCATTAAATGAGAAACTCGGGATGAGACTTCGCAGTTTGGATTTAACAAGCCCTCCAGTTGATTCTGAGGCACACTAAGGTTTGACAACCACTGCTGGTTTAAATCATGCCGAAGAATCAGCTGGACTAAATTCTTATTCTTTCCTTCTTGGAAACGGCAACTTGGCCGGAGTGATGTTATTGAGACAGACCAATTATTGCACTGGGTTTGGTTTAACAATAATAACTATATCCTATGGTTCCATCCTCATTTGCCATTCCTGGAAATAATTTTCTTCATTCTTGGATGTTTCATCCCTCTGTTGGAGTCACTAGAGATGGAACTGACCTTTTCCTCTTCCATGAATTCCACTATCAGATGCCTCTTCAAGCATCTCCACTTTTTATCTTGTGACTTAAGAATCCTGGGTGCATTTGGACTTCCTATAGATTCAGGCCTTGGGTTTTTTTTCCTTCCTCTTTCTAAAAAGAAAACCGGATCCTGAAAATGTCTTTGACAAACCACAGATGTTTATGTTCAAGAGAGGAGCTAAGAGAACATATACAGTATCAGCCTTTAATAATCTACCTCTTACCCTGGAAAAACTGTGGCTCTTGTACTTTCTCCAACACTGTCTTAGTAGTAACCGCAGCTCCCCTTTATTGAGGGCTTACTATGTTCAAGGCATCCTCTTGAGCACTTGTCCTGCCTTTTATCATTGAATCCTCACCACAGTCCCATGAGATACAGGTAATATTACTGTCCCCAATCTACAGAGAAAGAAACAGAGGTCTAGAGATGGTTAAGCAACAAAGCCTGACAACCACAACTGTCTGCAACCTTTTTATTGACTAAGGTCAGCACTGATTGGCTGCATTTTGCTTGCCTTCGCTTGTTTCCCAGAATATAGAGCCTCCAGCAGAAGCATCAGGGAGCAGTGAATTGACCAAAAATAGATGAAAAGAGAAACAGTGGGAAAAACTCTAGACAGAAAGTCAGGGACCTAGGTCTGAGTTCTGGCTCTCTGCTAACCAGCTGGGTCTTTGGGAACACAATCTCTCTGAGTCTCAGTTTCTGAGACTGTTAACCAGGTCAGTAACATCTACTTCTCAGGGTTGTAGTAAGGATCATACATGAAACTGCCTGGCAAAAGGCCTTGCAGTAATATCTTCACCCTGGAAGATAAGAAGTTAATAGGACATCAGTAGCAGAAACAAGGAGCAGCCTTGGTTGCTGAGCCACCGTACCTTTCATTCTTGCTGCCGAGGGACGTTCCCTGTCTCCGTATTTTCTCTGGAGGGTGGGATGATGGCGCAAACTGGGTAAATAAGGGGAAAGGAGGGCAGGTTGGAATCCTACCATCCACCATGTCTCAGCGCTCCTGCGTTCCTCTGTGCCTCCCTGGGTGCCTTGCTTCAGACGCTATCTGTTAACTTATACTTGTTCTGTGAACTATCTGGCAAACAACACACTTCTTATGACATTCTGATACTTGTGGATGGAGCCAGGCAGAGGTCTCTGTTGGAATGCCCTAACATTCAGAAGGGCAACAATCAGGTCGGCCTCACAACATTCTCTTGCCTGGTCAGATCTCCCTGGTTAGGTGGTGGGTGGAGGGCATGATGGAAATGATAGGTAACTAGTACCCCTTGTGAGACACTGAATGTGGAAGCTCTACCCTAGGAAATGGGACCATAATAATAAGAGCTGGGCAGAGGGATGGGTTGGGAGTACAGTGAGCTCCCTCTTAGGCCTCTCTCTCCAATGCTGCAGTGGATTCCTAAAAAGGAGGGAAGGGCAGGTGGTGGGCAGGTGAGATGCAGAATAACCCCACACAGCTTTCTTGTTCCTTTTCCCTTGCTCCCTTGGTGCAGATGACTTGAGTTTATTTGAGCCTTGGAGAGGAAGACAGGCCACACTGGGTATTTCCCACCAGTCAGCTTTTGGCTCACCTCCGCCTCCCTACAGGGGCTTAGCAGAGTCAGAGTGTGGTGGGGAGGCCTGGAATTCACATCCACATCCACACATAGGTGGATAGACTCTTGATTGTCAGCCTTGTAGAACTACAGGCTCTCAGTCTTGCGGGGAGGTAGGGAAGAGCTGATGGTGAATAGAAAGTGAACAAGAAGCATGAAGCATGAAGAAAAGGACCACCTCCCTCTAGGAACTCAAGTTGCTCATGGCTAGGGGTGGTCCTGCACCCACCATCCTGAAGGGAAATGGTGGAGATGGATCTGAAAGAGGGCTTTGCACCTTTGTGGCCTAGAGACCCCTCCCCTCCAGCCTAGCTGTCAGGCTCAGTATTTGCTTAGTGTAGTCTTTCAGAATAAACAGTGGCGACCAGGTAAACAGGGGTGTACTCTTTACTTACAGAAGATATTGTTTTATTATTTGGCTGTGTTTCTCCTTTTTTTTTTTTTTTTTTTAATGTGCCACTGTGGAAGGGGATGCAAGCTGATCTGCCAGCTAGGTGGAGGACAAATTTTTTGTTAGTGGGGAGCTTTGCTTCCATTTTTTTTTTTTTCTTGAGAGAAGAAAAATTGACCCAAAGTGATCAGGAAGTAATATATTGTTAAGTGGACAGTTTTGTGGGGCTTTTTTTTTGTTTCCTGTAGGATGGGGAGGAAGGAGAAATTTTTATCATAAGGAGTCAGACAAATGTTGGTTTATCTAAATCAGGATTTCTTTTTTTTTTTTTTTTGAGACAGAATTTCACTCTTGTCACCAAGGCTGGAGTGCAATAGAGTGAGCCACCACCCCAGCCGAAATCAGGATTTTGTAACCTTAGCACGAATTGACAGATAATTCTTTGTTTTGGGGAGCTGTCCTGTGCATTGTAGGATGTTTACCAGCAACCCTGGCCTCTACCTATCAGATGCCAATAGCACTCTCTTCCCTAGTCATTTTGTTTTGTTTTGTTTTGCTTTGTTTTGTTTTTTTGAGATAGAGTTTCACTCTTTTTCCCAGGCTGGAGTGCAGTGGCAGGATCTCGGCTCACTGAAACCTCCACCTCCCGGTTTCAAGCAATTCTGCTTCCTCAGCCTCCCAAGTAGCTGAGATTACAGGCGTGCGCCATCACGCGCTGCTAATTTTTGTAATTTTAATAGAGATGGGTTTCACCATGTTGGCCAGGCTGGTCTCGAACTCCTGACCTTGTGATCTGCCCACCTCAGCCTCCCAAAGTGCTGGGATTACAGCCGTGAGCCACCACGCCCAGCCTTCTAGTTGTTATTAAAAAAAATAAAAAGAAAAGTGTTCAGACACTGCCACATGTCCACTGGGGAATAAAATTGCCTCAATTGACAACACTGATCTAAGTGTTTCCTACAATTTTTTTTCTAGTGATTTGGTCTTGAGTTTTTCATTCTATAGGTCTTATCAAAGAGCGAGGGACAAAGCTGCCTTCAAGAGAAGAAGCCCAACCCTTGGCCCCACTTGCCCTGCCTAGCTTAAGGAGCCCCAGGAAACCTCTGCTTTTTCACCTTGACCACTGCAGTCCATCTGGCAACCCAGACCTGGACTAGAAGCAGGAAGAAAAGGATCACGAGGAGGCACAGCACCTCTAGGAACGCACAACTAGGACTTACAGCTGGGGCTGGGCTTGCATCTGCCTGCCTCCTGCCGCACAGTGCTCCTAATGCAGCAAGATTTTTGGAATTCTATGTACCCTAGGGCACACCTAGTGTTTCTTGTTTGTGTTTGGCCTGTTCATGTGTATGATAGAGAAACAGAGAGGCAGAGTGTGGAATTTTTGTGTGTTTGGGAGGGTGGGGGGCTGAAACAGGGGCTTCTCATCACTCTGGAGCCCCTCTCTTGTCAATGCACCAAAGGATGTGTTCACTCTCCAGGGTCCTCCCATTTCCCCCAGCTAATTACATGCCTCTTTAATGAAAGGAAATAGTTTCTCAGCTAAGCTGGGAAACCCAAGTCCCTGGTGCCCCCTCATCATGGGTATCTGGGAAGGACAAAAAAGGAAGCAGCTGCTTCTACTTCTTGCCTTCCCAACCCTCTTGAGGGGTGCCCGGCCCCACCTGGAGACAGGAACCATTTCCTTCTGCCAGCAGGAGCCTCCAGACCTGCCACTGGGCATGGCCAGGACATGGATACGTTGAGAAAACCCAAGCAAAGGATGGGATTAGGTGGTGGATACAGGCTGGATGTCAACCAGACCCCTGAGGAAGCCAAGCTTTTTATTCACAGCCCCTCAGCTGCAGCCTAGGAGTGAGGGAGTGTGACTGTCCCCCACCCCTGCTGTGTACAGCTGCTGGGGACAGAGCCGGCTGCTCTAAGCTTGGCTGGGGTTGGGGGCAGGGACACAGTGGGGGAGGCAGGGGAGATTGGCTGAAGTCCCAGGACAAGGCTGCAAGATCTTCCTCTCCCTCCAGGGCCTCCCTCAGTCAGCACAGTCTCTGGGAGGTGGTTTCAGAAAACAGTCAGTTGGGGACTATAGGTGAGGGGGGCTGGGGAGAGAAGTTACCGGTCCAGGAAACAGCTGGGCTGCTGTTTCCCTAGAGAGGTTACTCATGGAGCAGATTCCAGGATGTGAGGGTTCTGGGCACCTTTCCTCTTTCCACTACTGGAAAGGAGAGAGAGAGAGAGAGAGAGAGAGAGAGACCCACAGTGGTTCCATGGTCTCTTCAACACCTACAGTGAGATGGAAGCTGGTCAGCTGGGAGCCTGGCAATGTGGGATTACACAAGAGAAAATCTCTGGCCTCTTCTCTTTCAGCCACCCACCCTCCAAAAAACACAAAAATTTCATACTCTGCCTCTCTATTTCTCTATCATACACATGAACAGGTCAAACACAAACAAGAAACAGGGTTATCCTGAAGGTTCTAAGAGCTTCCCACCTCCCAATTCTCCTTTAAAAAAATAAAATGCCAAAGTTGAAGAGACTGGGATTGGGGAAATCAGGAAGAGGAGTAACCTGAATATATGGTCCTTCACCAATCATTTAGCAATGTCTTCCCGGAAGAAAATCAGGACAGTCATTTGTTGTGCATCGATGGCATTCAGCTAGATAAGAGAAACAGGCAGAAGAAAGAAACCGGAAACACAGTTGAGAGTACAAGCCCTTTGAGGGCAGGAGACCTTTCAAGTCTTTTGTGTTTGGTTTTTTGTTTTGTTTTGTTTTATTTTGTTTTGTTTTGTTTTGTTTTTGAGATGGAGCCTTGCTCTGTCGCCCAGGCTGGAGTGCAGTGGCGTGATCTCAGCTCACTGAGGGATCATGCCACCTCTGCCTCCCATGTTCAAGCAATTCTGCCTCAGCCTCCTGAGTAGCTGGGATTACAAGTGTGCACCACCAGGCCAGGCTAATTTTTTTATTTTTAGTAAAGACAGGGTTTCACCATGTTGGCCAGGCTGATCTCAAACTCTTGACTTTAAGTGATCTGCCCACCTTGGCCTCCCAAAGTGCTGGGATTACAGGCCTGAACCACCGCACCGGCCTCAAGTCTTTTTTTGAATTAAACTTTTTATTAAGATCATTGTAGATTCACATGCAGTTATAAGAAACAATACAGAGAGATCCCTTGTATACTTGCCCAGTTTCCCCCATTGATGACATTTTGCAAAACTACAGTAAAATATCACAACCAGGATATTGACGCTGATACAATCCAACAACCTTATTCAGATTTCCTGTTTTATTTGTACCTGTATGTGTGTGTGTGTTGAGTTTTATACAATTTCATCACCCACATGTGAGTATCCACCACCTCAATCCAGATTCTGAACAGTTATAACATGAAGAGGTCCCTTATGTTGCCGTCTTAAAACCACACTTCCTCCCTTCCCATTCCCCTTTCTGTACCTGATTCCTGGCAACTACTATTCTGCCCTCCAATTCTAAATTTTCTTTCAAAAACCTTATATAAAGGGAATCATATGGCATGTGACTTTTAGGGATTGGCTTTTCTCTTGGCATAATTCCCTACAGATTCATCCAAGTCATGGCATAAATCAATAGTTCATTCCTGGCTGGGCACGGTGGTTCACACATGTAATCCCAGCCCTTTTGGAGGCCAGGTGGGCAAATTGCTTGAGCTCAGGGGTTCAAGACCAGGCTGGGCAACATGGCAAAACCTCATCTCTACAAAATATACAAAAATTAGCTGGGCGTGGTGGTGTGTACCTGTAGTCCCAGCCACTCGGGAGGCTGAGGCAGGATAATTGCTTAAAACCAGAAGGCAGAGGTTGCAGTGAGCCGAGATCATGCCACTGCACTCCAGCCTAGGCAACAGAGCAAGACTCTGTCCAAAAAAAAAAAAAAAAAAAAAAAAAAAAGATATAGTTCATTCCTTTTTATTGCTGAGTAGTAATCTGTGGTATATTAGTACCAGAGTTTGTTTGAACATTCACCTGTCAAAGGACATTTGGGTTGTTTTCCATTTGGAGCTATACAAATAAGGCTGCTATGGACATTTATGTGACAGTTCATTTTTATATGAACATCAAGTTTTTACATGCTTGTCTATCCAGTGCCAGTATCGTGCCGGGCACACATCAGATCCTCAGTCAGTGTTCCTTGGAAATGACTCAGGACAATCTGCTCTAGCACTGTAGTCCAGGTGGGAGTAGGGAAGAAAGCAAGAATGACGGTGGGGGGTGGTCATTTCCACGAACAATGAGCCAAAAATCAAGGCTCAGTCTGATGAAAGGATTGATCAAAGGACGCATGGTCATGATTAGTATTAAGCAGTTGGGACTACAGGAGGCCAAAATTACATATAGTGAACAAATGATAATATATGGGTGAGAGTGACAGTGGACATGGCATGGGACAGTGTGTGAAATGATATACATGCAGGTTACAGGAATCCTGAAGCAGCTCTAACAGTGATGACAGCAGGGGCTTTGGGAACACCTTATTCAAACCCCGCCTCCACCACTTTTTAGCTGTGTGTTCTGCGCAAATTACTTAATCTCTCTGAGACTACATTTTCTAACCTGTAAAATGAAGATATAATAGTATCTTTCTCATAAGAGTCCTGAGCAATGAGTAAAATAGGATACATAAAGTTCTTGACTCACAGTAGTCCCTGAATGAATATTAGTTTCCTTTCTGCCTCCCCACCCTAATGGCAAGTAAAGAAGTAATAGATATTAGGGGTGCAGTGACTCATGTCTGCAGTCCCAGCAATTTAGGAGGCTGAGGCAGGAGGATCGCTTGAGCCTGGGAGTTCAAGGCTGCAGTGAGTTATGATTGTGCCACAGCACTCCAGCCTGGGTGACAGAGCAAGACCCTGTCTCAAAAAAAAAAAAAAAAAAAAAGTCGGGCTTGGTAGCTCACACCTGTAATCCTAGCACTTTGGGAGGCTGAGGCAGGCGGATCACCTGAGGTTAGTAGTTTGAGACCAGCCTGGCCAATGTGGTGAAACCCTGTCTCTACTAAAAATACAAAAATTAGCCAGGCATGGTGGCTTGCGCCTGTAGTCCCAGCTACTAGGGAGGCTGAGGCAGGAGAATCGCTTGAACCTGGGGGGCGGAGGTTGCAGTGAGCCAAGATTGTGCCACTGCACTCCTGCCTGGCGACAGAGCAAGACTCCATCTCAAAAAAAAGAAAAAAAAGAAAAAGATTTTGGGGCTGGCTAGTCAGGAAAGACCTCTGAAAAGGAGTTTGGTTTAAAGAAAGCTTGTAGGGGGCATACGAGTAAGACAGAGGACAGACTGAACTCAGGCAGGGAGACTGGACTCAGAAGTGGACTGAATTAGATGCAGGCCCCCTCTTTGGAGCATAGGGATTGCCTCAAAGCAGAGCAGGAATTCACAAATAGGGTTTGGCCCAAGGGGTCACTAGTTCAGTTACTGCTTGGCTGGGTACTCCACACTCTGTTTTTTCTGCTTTCAAGGTGAGCTTCTCCTTACTTTATTAAAGGCCTGACACAGACAGTGTGCATCCCTCTTTGGAGCAGCTACCAGGGTGTGTTGGACAAGATGCTCGCCTGCCCCTCTCCTCCAGCCCAGCAAATGCAAACCATCCACCAAACCACCCCCTCTTCAGATTCCAAACCCCAAGCAGCCAAAGTCCTTGGTCCCTCCAACGCCTTCCAGAAAGTGCCTGGCCCTGCACAGCCCTCCTCCCAGGGCTACCTTTGATCTCACGAAGACACTTGACCTTTTGATCCCATCATGGGACTGTTCCCCAGCCCTAGGCCACTGGAATGGGGGGAAATAGAACCCTCCTTTCCTTGTTCCCACTCTTGTTTCTTTTGAACATGGGTTACCTCCCTTCGCGTCTTTTGGAACAGAAGGGGATCATAAGCTCTTGAGTCTCTGTTTTCTGCTGTCATCTACTCTTCCTGCCTCTGGCACCTCCCAGCTCCTGACTTCCTCCTGCTTCCCCCTGGAGCCAGAGATGTGGCTGGGAAGAGCCCCTGGCCTTTGAAGCCAGTGGTGGTGGTGACCAGGGGCAACAGGCCACTGTGCTCCTGGATGCGTGGTCTGCCAGTTCTCTCTCCCATCGCCCTTTGGGCCTCCGGTCTTGCCTCCTCCAGAGTGGGCATGGGGTAGGGGAGATAGAAGGAGGAGGATAGAGACAGAGTTTGCTTTGGATGTGGCCAGTCTAAAAGAGCCCTTCCACCTCATTCAAGGCCCTCCCCACCACTCTAGTGGTCACAGCACATTTTCTGTTCTATTCCAAACTTCTTTGTGCCAATCATTACTTTTTTCACTGGTTTTATTGATCCCTCCTGAGGCAGGAGGATCACTTGAGCCTGGGAGTTCAAGGCTGCAGTGAGTTATGATTGTGCCACTGCACTCCAGCCTGGGTGACAGAGCAAGACCCTGTCTCAAAAAAAAAAAAAAAAAAGTCGGGCTTATAGGCTCTCGAGTCTCTGTTTCCTGCTCTCATCTACTCTTCCTGCCTCTGGCACCTCTCAGGTCCTAACTGGAGCCAAATTTATACCTCCCAAAATGACCTTTAAAAATGTACATTATGGGGCTGGGCATGGTGGCTCACGCCTGTAATCCTTGCACTTTGGGACGCCAAGGTGGGAGGATCCCCTGAGGTCAGGAGTTCGAGACCAGCCTGGCCAACAGGACAAAACCCTGTCTCTACTAACAATACAACAACAAAAAAAATTAGCTGGGTATGGTGGCGCATGCCTGTAATCCCAGCTGCTCAGGAGGCTGAGGCAGGATAATCTCTTGAACCCAAGAGGCAGAGGTTGCAGTGAGCCTAGATCATGCCACTGCGCTCCAGCATGGGCAACAAAGCGAGATTCCCTCTCAAAAAAAAAAAAAAAGTACATTATGGGTAGACCGGGCGTGGTGGCTCATGCCTGTAATCCCAGCACTTTGGGAGGCCGAGGCAGGCAGGTCACAAGTTCAGAAGTTTGAGACCAGCCTGGCCAGCATGGTGAAACCCTGTCTCTACTAAAAATACAAAAGATTAGCCGGGCATGTTGGCGTGTGCCTGTAGTCCCAGCTACTCGGGAGGTTGAGGAGAATTGCTTGAATCTGGGAGGCGGAGGTTGCAGTGAGCCAAGATCACGCCACTGCACTCCAGCAGGGGCAACAGAGAGAGACTCTGTCTAAAAAAATAAATAAATAAATAATAAAAATAAAAATGTACATTATGGCCAGGTGCAGTGGCTCCCACCTATAAGTCCCAGCACTTAGGGAGGCTAAGGCAGGAGATTCACTTGAGCCAGGGAGGTTGAGGCTACAGTGAGCCATGATGGCGCCACTGCACTCCAGCCTGGACAACAGAGGAAGCCACTGTCTCAAAAAAAATTTTTTTTAAGTCAATTACATCATGTTACTCCTCTGCTTGACTCCTTCTAATGTCTTCCTGTTGTGTGAGAATGAAATACATATGGTCTAGTTTCTGCCCACTTATCTCACCCCATTTACGCCTCTCGTACTCTGGCTTTCTTTTTTTTTTTTTTGAGACGCAGTCTCACTCTGTCGCCCAGGCTGGAGTGCAGTGGTGCAATCTCAGCTCACTGCAACCTCTGCCTCCGGGATTCAAGCAACTCTTCTGCCTCAGCTTCCCGAGTAGCTGGGATTACAGGCGCACGCCACCATGCCCAGCTATTTTTTTTTTTTTTTTTTTTTTGTATTTTAGTAGAGGCGGGGTTTCTCCATGTTGGTCAGGCTGGCCTTGAACTCCTGACCTCGTGATCTGCCCGCCTCAGCCTCCCAAAGTGCTGGGATTACAGGCGTGAGCCACTGCACCCAGCCAAATATTTCACTGGGTGATAAATGAATCCCTCTGATATTGCAGTGAGATTGGAGAAGGCCCATTTGTGGGCAGAACGCTGGCCTCGGAGACTAGAAAACCAAGTATAGGAACAAAATAAACCAGACAAGTTTAGGTTTGCATCCTAGGTTTGCCATATATTAGCTGTGTAATCCCAGACAAGTTACTTTACTTCTTTGAATTTAATTTTCCCCATCTGTAAAACAGAAATGCTATCGCTTAGCTTCTAAGATTGTGGTGAGGAGGAGAGAATTACATGAAAGTGCAAAATAGATATGGATTAAAAATAATCCACGTGGTTATCCAGAGATAGTAAAACAGAGTCTGGGTGCCGTTACACAATAATCTTGCCTCCATTCCTTTAATCAACTGTATCATGCTCTTCATTTAAGGAGGCTGCAATACGAGGCAACCCTGATGGAGGGATAAACAGAATGCCACCATCCACAGACTAAATCCAGGCCACCGCCAGGTTTTGTTTTGTTTTGTTTTCTGTTTTTGTTTTTTGTTTGGTTGGTTGGTTTTTTTAGGCAGAGTCTTGCTGGAGTGCAGTGGCGTGATCTTGGCTCACTGTGACCTCTGCCTCCTGGGTTCTAGCGATTCTCCTGCCTCAGCCTCCTGAGTAGCTGGTACTACAGGCGCATGCCACCACGCCCAGCTAATTTTTGTATTTTTATTAGAGATGAGGTTTCACCATGTTGGCCAGGATGGTCTCGATCTCCTGACCTCATGATCCACCCGCCTCGGTCTCCCAAAGTGCTGGGATCATAGGCGTGAGCCACCACGCCCAGCCACACTGCTGGGTTTTGTATGGTCCCTGAGCGATGAATGGTTTTACATTTTTAAGTGGTTGAAAAAAATCAAAAGAAGAAGAATATTTCATGACACATGAAAATTGTATGAATTTAAATTTCAGTGTGCATAAATAAAGTTTCATTAGAACACAGCAACACCCATTCATTTCTGTATTATCTGTGGCTGCTCTGTGCTACAAGCACAGAGGTGAGTAGTTGCGATGGAGACCATATAGCCCCTGCAATATTTCCCATCTGACTCTTTACGGATTCTAATAAGGAGCTTGTCTAAGAGACTGCATGGTGGCAAGGAGAGGACAGGCCAACCTCAGGGGACTGTTTCTCTTTCAGGGCTCTCTGCTGCATGCTTCAGAAGGTTCTGTTTTACCTCTGGCTGCAGAGGCACTGCCAGCCTCCTGGAGCCCAGAGAGAGCTTGAGGGAGCTGTACACCTCCTAAGCGTTTTAGGGAAGGAGCCCCCAGAGGGAAGCCCCCACAGAGGGAAGCCCCCCCAGGAGCCACTTGCCCTGTGGCAGCTCCTCTGACCTCCCTTTTTCCTGGGCTTAGTTTTCTCCAGAAGGTAGGGAGGGTGGCATGGTTAAAGTAGCTGGACTTCCAGACATCAGCTCTCCAAGACAGAGGCGACCCACCCCAAGTGGGAGCCCTGGGAACCCTCTCTCCTCCCAGAGGCTGTTGCACATCCGCACTGCAGGCCCCATGTAGGCGGGCAGTCTGCGAGAGCCCTGGTAGATTATTCTTAGGAAAAGCAGGAGAGCCAGCCGCTTCAGGGAGGTGGAAAGTCTGCTCCTAATGACAGGTCTCTCTCTCTAGGGAGCTTATAATCACCGTGGGAGGCTCCCCCTTCGTGTGGCAGAGACACCAGGGCTGATGGAGCCAACGACATTGAAGAAGGCTGCTGTGTGGCCTTGGGGGTGGGGGTATGTGTGCAAATTCACAGGGCTGTGCAGAGAAGGGACAGGAATTTAAATGCAAACGCAAAGGCTCTGTCCTTGCAAAGGCCAGGGTACTGGGGATGAACAGGAAGTTGAAAGTAGGAGGAAACACCGGCTGCCCTCCTAAGTGCGGGGGCTAGGGCACAGTGCAGTGCAGTGCAGGAGTGTGGCCGTGCAGCCAGCCCACCACTTGAATGCTTCCTTCTTTCCCCTTGTCCTTCCTCCACCATCTCTGGGAAGTCTGGAGGGCTGGGCCGAGCCCCCACCACTGCCCTGCTCCCTGCAGGGAAGAAAAGTCCTGTTTTACCAGACTTCTCAGGTAACAAAGGTAGAACATTGTCCTTTCTCAGCATCCCCAGTTCCAAGCATCCAGCAGCCTCTTCCCCCTTGGGTCATCTTCCTTAGGAGTAGATCTGGATGGATAACTAGAAGTTGAGGACGTGTTCCAACACTGAGTGGCTTCGTGGGCGAGCCACTACTTCTCTAAGTTTACATTTCCCTCATATAATGATACCTGTCTCCCAAGGTCATTGTGAGGACAAAATGACATGCTGCACATGAAACCACTTTTAAAACTATAAAGCCCAGGAAGGAATATTCATGTGAACAAGCTACAATCTATGTGCACACACCTAAGCATAGTCACCCAGGCTGGAGTGCAGTGGCACAATCATAGATCACTGCAGCCTCTACCTCCTGGGCTCAAGTGATCCTCCCACTTCAGCCTCCCAAGCAGTTGAGATTATAGGCATGACATCATGCCTGGCTAATTAAAAAAATATATTTATAGAGCTGGGGTCTTGCTATGTTATTGCCCAGGCTGATCTCGAACTTCTGGCCTCACAGTGTTGGAATTACAGGCGTGAGACACTGTGCCCAGCCATGGGGATGAGGCTTCTATCACCAAGGTGTTGTATCCAATCTAGGAGAAGTGAGTGAGAAGAGGAAGGCCCTTCCAACAGCTAGGAGGCCTTGGAGATGCTATCATGCTTGTGGTCTGATCTCAGCATCTCTGACAGGGCGCAGCCTTCCTGTTCGACCCTGGCAGTTGGACCGTGATAGCGGTCTGCTGCCCACCCACTCTGGTGCTGCAGCTTCTCCAGGGTCTTGGCCCTCCTCTGCTGCTCAGCTGCTCAAGGCAGGAATGGTGGAGGTGAGGTTCTGAATGTGGTGGACTTCAGGTGCCACTCTCTTTCTTCTCTTTTATCCTTGGAAGGGGAGCTCGGTGTGAAGGGGAGTGGGCCCCAAGCTCTAGTCCAGGCCTGCCACTCGGTAGCCATGGAGCTCTTGGAAGTCACTTAATCTCCACTGCTTGAACCTCCTCCCATAAATTGCAGAATCGATTCCCTTCCTGCCCACTCTCAGTGCCGAGGAGCAAATGTGAGGCGCTTATGGAAGTGCTTTGAAAATGGCTCCATTTCCATGCAAGGGACGGCTATTTTCAAAGAGTGGGAAATGGGGAAGCGGACACAGACTGGTGGGATAATGGGGACAGAAACAGGCAGCAGGCCTTAGCCAGGGGCTGGGGGACAGAGGGGGAAAGGTGTGGAGGGACTGGGGGGCAGGGGGAAAATGATGATTTAGTGCTGTATGTCCAACACTAAACCAAGCATTCTCTGATCCTCTCACAGCCCGTGATATGGACACTGTAATATCCATTTTACAGAGGAAGCAACCTAGGCTCAGCGAAGTTCAGCAATTTGCCCAAAGTTTAAGGCTAGTAAGGGCAGAGTTGACCAGCAAGCCCAAATCTGTCTGACTCCAGAGTCTGTGATCTTTGCACTCCACCAAGTTTCCAGAAAACCTATTCTGGGGGTAGGCATAAGAGTAAAATGGAGATAGGAGGAGAAGAGTCCACTGGAATACAGGAAGTGAGAGACAGGAAGTATTTCTATGTGCCTGGCACAATACCTGGCCCACAGAAAGTGCCAGGGCTACTGCTGGTCCATATAGTGCTTTTATGCAGCTTAGAACAAGGTAGATGCAACCATGAGGCATGCCTATTTGTGCTTGGGAAGTGAATCACATGTACAACTGTACATGGAAGCCCTGGGAGAGACTGAAATTAATTCATTTATTAATTAACTAATTAATTAAAGGAGAAAAGAAAAAAGTCTAGGAAAAGAGGGCGTTAAACAATAAAGAGTAACTGGGAATGGGAAAGAAGAAGAAAAAAAACGTGGGAAAGAATATATAAATGGAGGCCGGGCACGGTGGCTCATGCCTGTAATCCCAGCACTTTGGGAGGCCGAGGTGGGCGGATCACGAGATCAGGAGTTTGAGACCAGCCTGGCCAACATGGTGAAACCCTGTCTGTACCAAAAATACAAAAATTAGCTGGGCGTGGTGGTGTGTACCTGTAGACCCAGCTACTCAGGAGGCTGAGGCAGAAGAATCGCTTGAACCTGGGAGGCAGAGGTTGCAGTGAGCCGAGATCGCACCACTGCACTCCAGCCTGGGCGACAGAGTGACACTCCATCTCAAAAAAACAAAAAACAAAAAAGGATATACAAATGGGAAGAGGAGTGTCGCAGGGGGCGGGGTATTGTGAAGAAGGGAGGTAGAGGGAGGGCGCTCTTTGCTCCAAATGCAGACCAAGTGCCTTCTGCAGGTCCTCTAGACTCAGTACACATGATAAGCACACCTTGGTGTGACTGCTTGCAAGTGCTGTTTCATCTGCTGCACCAACAGCTCTGGACAGCCAGGGAACAAATGGGATGTTCCAGCATTCTTTTTTTTTTTTTTCTGAGAGAGAGTCTCACTCTATCACCCAGGCTGGAGTGCAATGGTGCAATCTTAGCTCACTGCAACCTCCGCCTCCTGGGTTCAAGCAATTCTCCTGCCTCAGCCTCCCAAGTAGCTGGGATTATAGACACATGCCACCACGCCTGGCTAATTTTTGTATTTTTATTAATAGTAGAGATGGGGTTTCACCATGTTGGCCTGGCTGGTCTCTAACTCCTGACCTCAAGTGATCCTCCCGCCTGGCTTCCCAAAGTGCTGGGATACAGGCGTGAACCACCACGCCCGGCTGCGGTTCTAGCATTCTCTCTTCACTTCTTACTGAACAAAGGAGGCATCATTTGGCCAACATGACTGGATGGTGCTCTGCCACTACTTGTGTTTGTTCCTTCTCCCTTTTCTGGCCCTGAAGCCCAGCAGAGGGGCCCTTCCCACCAACTCCTTCTGTTCCTCTGGAGCTTCATTTGGAGTCTGGGGCTGGTGTTCCTGCTCAGACACCTGGACTCAGGCCAGTGTCTCTCCTTCCCGCAGGCCTGGATGGATTGTGCAAAATGGTACTATGCCTTGGAGCAAGAGGTTAGTTCACAACCTAGTTATTAATTACTCACTTGCTTTTTATCTTGAGCATTGCATCAGGACCGTGAGAATGGCTTTATAGCCACTTGCAGTAGGCAGTGTCAGCTTCTTGCTCCTCTCTCAATCCCAAAGATCCAGATACAGTAGTAAATCCTGCCAAAAGTTACTGGAATTCCAGTCATCTCTCACAACTCCTAGCACATTCAGGACATCCCTTCCAGAATGGGAAAAGCTACTCAGCCAGGAGGACCCCCATCATCAGAGGCCTGCAATGGGGCTTCCATATGCCATCTCACCCATCTATCATCTTCAGGCTGTATTGCACTGGACTCAGTTGTGGGGACATTTAGGGAGGAGAAGGCAGAGATTTTACACCTTACCTCAGATGCCCTGGGAAGTCCCTCCTCTAGTGTGATTCCCATCTGTCTTGCTGCAGTTCTAGGATTTTTCCTCTTGTTTGGCCCTCCTTGTCACTGGTTGAGTAAATACTGTGAGCGCACTTGATGGTGGGTGTAGCAGACTCCTCCTCCTTTTATTCCTATCTTGAAGTCAGAGAGTCAGCCCTACAGGGGAGAATGGGAATGAGACCTCTCGGCCTCTCCCCTTGCGCCCTCCTGCCCCTTGTTTGACCCTTTTATTTTCCCCACTCTGAAGACTGTGGAGTCACAGCCAGCAACCAAATCCCTTTTGAGCTCCTCAGCCTCCTGATCTGGGCTCTGTCTGAGCCTGCTGCTGCTGCCGTAACACACTGCTGAGGTGCAGAACTAATTTAGTGACAGCGGAGCCCTCTCCTCTGCTGCCTGACAGAGAACTCAGGGCTCTCAGAGCACACCCAGCTGATGCGGCCTCAGGCTCTCATTCTTCAGAGATGCCACCTTAGGCAAGTCACTTGACCTCAGTTTCCCCATCTGTAAAAGGAGGTGGCACCTGCCTACCTTAGAGGTACTTGTGAGAATCAAACCTGACGATGTTTATTAAAGAGCTTAGTAAAGCCCTTAAGTATAGCACAGAAATAAGTAATTATCTTCCACCATCACCAGCCAACTGGCCTCAAAAACTCAGCTCAGAACTTCCCCCACTCCACCCTGCTTCCTTGGATTTATCCCTCTGAACTCGGATCATTTTTGCCCTCTGGAGTTGGTTTGCAGCCTTGAGATTTTTGCATTTGCTGCCATGTTGCTGGGTCACGTTTGTGTACAACTTTCTGTTTTCCAGAGTAGACTGTCATCTCCACAAGGACAGAAACTGTATCTTGTATGATCTTCCCCATTGCCACACAGCATCACATTTAGGATTCTATACAGACAGAAGAATGAGCAAACATTCATTGTGACCAAGCAAGGTGGCTCCCATGCCTGTAATCCCAGCACTTTGGGAAGCTGAAGAGGATCGCTTAAGGTCAGGAGTTCAAGACAGCCTGGGAGACACAGTGAGTCTTTGTCTCCACAAAAAAATTTAAAAAATTAGTCAGGCATAGTGGCACACACTTGTGGTCCCAGCTACTTGGGAGCCTGAGGCAGGAGAATCACTTGAGGTAGAGACTGCAGTGAACTGTGATTGCACCATTGCACTCCAGCCTGGGCAAAAGAGCAAGACCCTTTTTCAAAGAAGAAGAAGAAAAAGCTTTCTGCATTAAAAAAAAAAAAAAAGAGGCTCAGAAGTTAAATGACTTACTCACAGGCATAAGGTTACTAGATCGATCCTAGCACTGAGCCTGACTTGTAACTGTTATTTCCTTAAATGGTCATCGAATGAGAAATGAATGACTGCATGCATGGTAAATGGCATTGGGTCTGTCTGGTTCCAGAGCCCACACTTTCTCCACTGTAGCACACAGCCCCTCAGTGATTTTAGCTGGGGAAAGATCTCCACGGGGGATGTGGAGCTGGCAGAGCTCTGTCGCCTCTGGCTGTCCCTCCCCAGTCTCAAACTCCACCCTGTAGTTAGCACCTCAGGCATCTGAGCTTGGGAGTAGAATCCCCGGTATTCACAGTGACATAATCACCTCCTCGCTCCAGGCTTTTCAGAAGCCAGTCCAGTTACCTTGGTGTCTTTGCTATTTAGAGATTTATTGGGAGGTTGTCTGGTTCTATCCTGAAACCCTCAGGGAGAAGGAGATAGCATTACCTTTTATGCCTCTGCCTCTCAGCCTTGACTGAGCTCCACCAAGCAGCCTAACCCCAATCCCAATCTGTCCTGTAATTTCTGTTTCTAAAATATGAACCATCATGGCATTTTGCTGCTGCCTCTAAAACATGGGAGGCTAAGAGACCCAGCTACTAGGGTCTTTGAGAGGAGATTGTGATGGGTTTCATTGGATTTCAGAACTGAAAAGGACCATTGTGTTCATTCGGCCTCACCTCTTACCTAGTGCCTGAAAGTCTCACAATGTCCCCATCATGCTTAATCTCTGCTTAAAGCCACTTGGGACTTGCCCCTTAGGGAAACTCCCTTAGACCTCTTCTTCCCTAACTTGAGCTCTGATCTGGCTCCCGAACTGTCTCCTCGGATGGAGGTTTGCCCTCCGAAGCCATTTCTTTTCAGCGTGGACTTTGCCTGCAGAAGAGCCAACACATTTCCATGGCAGGAATGGGTTCAGCATTTCACCACCTCTGCTTTCTGCTCAGCTAAATCTTTCTGCTTTGGAGGCACTTCTGGTCTCTTCTCTGACTTCCCGTAGGTCTGGGTGGGGAAGGGGAAGACTCAGGAGGAGGTTCAAATTGGGAGGAAAGATCCCTTTACAGAAGTGTTTCTGATGTTCATTTGTCAGGGGGATATTTCCTGAAGAAAGTGCCCTTGAAGGCCATGTTTGTTGTTTCAAAATCTTCCCTGCAGGGGCAACACTCAAACCTGAGGTCACCAGCTGTGTAGTGAAGGGCTCATTTGTCAGCAACTCCAAGGCTCTGCCATCTTGTGATGACAGTCAAGGTGGGGCATGGGTGACCTCCAGAACTAGAGGTCACAGTCATTCCTAAGCTTGGGATTTGACAGGGAAGAAGCAGCTGTCCAATTCTCCTTTCAGCGGTTTTAATTTCTTCCTCTGGTCAGGCACAGTGGCTCATGCCTGAAATCCCAGCACTTTGAGGGGCAGAGGTGGGAAGATTCCTTGAGTCCAGGAGTTTGAGGCCAGCCTGGGTAACATAGGGAGACCCCATCTCTTTAAAAAGAAAAAAAAAAACAAAGGCCAGGCGCGGTGGTTCACGCCTGTAATCCCAGCACTTTGGGAGGCCGAGGCGGGTGGATCACGAGGTCAGGAGATCAAGACCATCCTGGCTAACACGGTGAAACCCTGTCTCTACTAAAAACACAAAAAAGTAGCCAGGCGTGGTGGCGGGCACCTGTGGTCCCAGCTACTCCGGAGGCTGAGACAGGAGAATGGCGTGAACCCGGGAGGCGGAGCTTGCAGTGAGCCGAGATCGCGCCACTGCACTCCAGCCTGGGCAACAGAGCAAGACTCCGTCTCAAAAATAAAAAAATAAATAAAAAAAAATTTTAAAAGTCCTGTCCTCACAGAGTATCCCAAACTCAGAGAGCTGGGTGCAGGTTCTTTCTTCACCCTTTCCAAACTCTGTTCCATCTTACTTCTTTTCACCAGACCTTCCTAAGCATTTCAGTTAAGGAGGCTCCTGGGGCTGGTTCTCCTGTTCAGGTTCCTGATCTCTCCGTGACTCCAGTCGTTTGGATGGAAGTGGAGTGTTGCAGTCCACACAGGGGAACACCTGCCATGGTGATCTCTCATTCCTCTTTCTTTCTCCTTTCTTCATGTTATTTTATTCCTGCCCTTTAAAAATATTTTTATTGATTCTTTTCTATTTACAAAAGCAATTTTTGATGCAGATAGAAGACTTAAAGACTCAAAAAAGTTCTCTTAGCACCCCCTCAAAATTAAAGTCATTCTTCCACTCATAAAAAGGCAGTATCCGAGCTGGGTGTTGTGGCTCATGCAGATAATCCCAGCACTTTGGGAGGCCAAGGTGGGTGGATCACAAGGTCAGGAGTTCGAGACCAGCCTGACCAACATGGTGAAACCCCATCTCTACTAAAAATACAAAAATTATCCGGGCGGGTGGCGGGCGACTGTAATCCCAGCTACTCAGGAGGCTGAGGCAGGAGAATCACTTGAACCTGGGAGGTGGAGGTTGCATTTAGCTGAGATGGCACCACTGCATTCCAGCCTGGGTGACAGAGTGAGACTCCCTCTCAAAAACAAAACAGTATCCGGCCAGGCGTGGTGGCTCACGCCAGTAATCCCAGCACTTTGGGAGGCCAAGGAGGGTGGATCACCTGAGGTCGGGAGTTCGAGACCAGCCTGACCAACATGGAGAAACCCCGTCTCTACTAAAAATACAAAATTAGCTGAGCATGGTGGCGCATGCGTGTAATCCCAGCTACTAGGGAGACTGAGGCAGGAGAATCGCTTGAATCTGGGAGGTGGAGGTTGCGGTGAGTGGAGATTGCGCCACTACACTCCAGCCTGGGCAACAAGAGCAAAAACTCCATCTCAAAAAACAAACAAACAAAAAAACAGTATCCACATTGTGGTTATGTCTTTCCTTTCTTATAGTTTCCTCTCTTTAGATATATACCTAAACAACTTTTTATCTTGGAATCATTTTAGATTTATGGGAAAACTGCACAGATAATACTAAGTTCCCATATGCCCTTCAACCAGTTTCCCCTAATGTTAACATCTTACAATACCATATTACAATAATCAAAACTGCAAAATTGGCCGGGTGTGGTGGCTCACGCCTGTAATCCCAGCACTTTGGGAGGCCGAGGTGGGTGGATCGCTTGAGGCCAGGAGTTCGAGACCAGCCTGGCCAACATGGCAAAACCATGTCTACTAAAAATACAAAAATTAGCCAGGCATGGTGGTGCATGCCTGTAATCCTACTCGGGAGGCTGAGGCATTAGACTTGCTTGAATCTGGGAGGTGGAGGTTGCAGTGAGCCGAGAATACGCCACTGCACTCCAGCCTAGGTGACGACAGAGTGACACTCTGTCTCAAAAAACAAAAAATAAACAAAAAAACCTGAGAAATTGGCCAGACCTGATGGCTCACATCTGCAATCCTGGCACTTTGGGAGGCCAAGGCAGGAGGATCACTTGAGCCCAGGAGTGTGAAACCAGTCCTGGCAACATAATGAGGCTCTGTCTGTACAAAAAATGCACACCTATAGTCCCAGCTATTCAGGAGACTTGAGGTGGGAGGATCGCTTGGGCGTAGGAGGTCGAGGCTGCAGTGAGCCATGGTTGCGCCACGGCTCCAGCCACTGCACTCCAGCCTGGGCAACAGAGCAAGACCCTGTCTCAAAAACAAAAACAATACTGAGAAATTAGTACTGGCGGCACTATTTATTAAACTACAGACTTTATTCAGACTCCACCAGTTTTTCCACTAATGTCCCTTTTCTGTTCCAAGATCCAATCTTGTTGCCTTAGTATATATACAATTAAAAAAAATGTATATCCCACTGTACACCATTTTGTTGCTGGCTTTTTCCACTTAGTAGTATACCATAAGGCCGGGCATGGTGGCTTATGCCTGTAATCCCAGCACTTTGGGAGGCCGAGGCGGGCAGATCATTTGAGGTCAGGAGTTCGAGACCAGCCTGGCCAACATGGAGGAACTCCATCTCTACTAAAAATACAAAACCTAGCTGGACATACTCACTTGAACCCAGGAGGCAGAGGTTGCTGTGAGCCGAGATCGGCTGCTATTGTGCCAAGAGCGAGACTCTCTCTCAAAAAAAAATAATAAAATATCATAAACATTTCCCCAGGCTGTTAAAATTATTATTATTGGGCCAGGCGCGGTGGCTCACACCTGTAATCCCAGCACTTTGGGAGGCCGAGGCGGTCAGATCACGAGGTCAGGAGATCGAGACCATCCTGGCTAACAGGTGAAACCCCATCTCTACTAAAAATACAAAAAAAAAAAAAAAAAAAAAAGGTTAGCTGGGCGTGGTGGTTGGTGCCTGTAGTCCCAGTTACTCAGGAGGCTGAGGCAGGAGAATGGCGTGAACCCGGGAGGCGGAGCTTGCAGTAAGCCGAGATTGTGCCACTGCATTCCAGCCTGGGAGACAGAGCGAGACTACGTCTCAAAAAATATATATATTATTATTTTTCTTGAGATGGAGTCTCGCTCTCCATCTCAAGAAAAATTGAGTGCAGGCTAGAGTGCAGTGGCACTATCTTTGCTCACTTCAACCTCCGATTCCCAGGTTCAAGCGATTCTCCTGCCTCAGCCTCCCAAGTAGCTAGGATTACAGGCTCCCGCCACCACGTCTGGCTAATTTTTGTATTTTTAGTAGAGGTGGGGTTTCGCCATGTTGATCAGACTGGTCTCAATCTCCTGACCTCAAATGATCCACCCACCTCCGCCTCCCAAAGTGCTGGGATTACAGATGTGAGCCACCATGCCTAGCTTATTAAAATTATTCTATGCCATCATTTTTAATGGCAGTATAGTGTTCTATTGAGTGGATTTGCCATAAGTTGCTTAGCCAATGGCTTATTATTCTACATTTAAATTGTTTCTAATTTTTCACTATTATAAAGAATGATGAAATGAAAAACTCTTACATACTTCTGATATACACATCTCTGATTATTTTGCCACCAGAGAAATTCCAGAAATGGAATTGCTGTGTTCAGGGGGCTCATCCCTCCTTCCAAGTCCACAGCCAGGATTTGGCCTTGCTGCTGGCCCTTATGCCTGAAGAGACTGCTCACCCTCATCCTGAGGCAGACAGCACAGACATCTCAAAGTGGACCACCGGCCCTGGATGATGGAGATGGCAAGAGATGGGAACAGCAAGGGAGCTCCAGGTCCTTCATGACTTCTCAGGCTTCCGTGAGGCCAACCAGATGCAGCTGGGTATCTGGTCTCTGTGGAATGAGAAGGATGCTTGCTCTTAGCCCAAGGACAATGAGGAGGGGCTGTGTGTGGGGGTGGGGCAGAGACTGCTAATGCATTTTGCCAGCATCTTTGGTTTCTCCAATATCCAGCTAGACTATTAGCAGTTCCCCAAGGATGGCCTTGCTCCTCACATCATCCCCCATTTCCTATAAATGGGAAGTGGCTGGGGAGTAATGTGTGTGTGTGTGTGTGTGTGTGTGTGTGTGTGTGTGTGTGTGTGTGTGGTGGGGGAGGGAAGAGAGAGGAAGGGAAAGGGCAATGGTGGTTTTCCTACAGCGGACCTCATGGACAAGTGAGGCCCAGAGAAGTTGTTATTTGCCCAGAATGCCACAGCATCCTAGAGGGTAGTACGGGTTTTCTCTGAGGCTCTGAAGTCACTGGCCAGGCTTGCTGAGGGATTGCTGCCTCTGCCTTGTTTCTGGGGCCCAGAGACTGTTTTTTTCTGTGTAATCAGGGGCTGTGGGTGAAGTAACTGCCCTGAGGAATTGCCTCCGTTATGTTTTTTTTTGTTTTTTGTTTTGTTTTGTTTTGTTTTGATGGTGTCTTGCTCTGTCACCCAGGCTGGAGTGCAGTGGCATGATCTCAGCTCACTGCAACCTCCGCCTCCTAGGTTCAAGCCATTCTCCTGCCTCAGCCTCCCTGGTAGCTGGGATTACAGGTGCGCACCACCATAACCAGCTAATTTTTGTATTTTTAGTAGAGACAGAGTTTCACCATGTTGGCCAGGCTGGTCTCAAACTCCTGACCTCGTGATCTGCCCACCTTGGCCTCCCAAAGTGCTGGGATTACAGGCGTGAGCCACTGCACCTGGCCAATTGCCTCTGTTTTGTCTGAAAATGGTACCAGTCTCTTGGGTTGTGCTAAGGATTCAATGAGTTAATACACACAAAGTATTTAGAAACAGTGCCTGGCACAATTAGTAATGGTTAACTATTATTATTATTATTATTATTATTTTGAGACGGAGTCTCGTTCTGTCGCCCAGGCTGGAGTGCAGTGGCACCATCTCGGCTCACTGCAAGCTCCGCCTCCCGGGTTCGCGCCATTCTCCTGTCTCAGCCTCCGGAGTAGCTGGGACCACAGGTGCCTGCCACCACGCCTGGCTACTTTTTTGTGTTTTTAGTAGAGGCAGGGGTTCATCGTGTTAGCCAGGATGGTCTTGATCTCCTGACCTCGTGATCCGCCCGCCTCGGCCTCCCAAAGTGCTG
Organism: Homo sapiens; assembly: GCF_000001405.40. NCBI lineage: Eukaryota > Metazoa > Chordata > Mammalia > Primates > Hominidae > Homo > Homo sapiens. The sequence goes on along the minus strand of NC_000001.11, from coordinate 205,682,180 downwards.
GGATTACAGGCGTGAGCCACTGCGCCTGGCCAACTATTATTATTATAACATGAGGCTACATCAGCAGAAAGAGGGGGATTTTCAGAGCAGAGAGCCCTACTGTACCCTGTATTGGGTGGGGCCTGGCCAGTGCATCCACCTGGTTTAGTTGGGAAGGGGTGATTGGGTAGGGCCCAGGATCACCATGGGATCCAGGCTGTGTGCTCACTCCCCTGAGCTCTCCTTCCTCATCCCCCTGTCATAAGGCATAAAGCACAAGGGCCCCTGGAAAGAAGTGGTGGGAGGCAGGAGGAAGAGGGGGGCTCTTACTTGTCTGTGGTGCGACAACTCTCTCATGTTCCCAGTGTTCTTTCCCAAGCCTGCAAAATACCACCGTCCACTCTCTCCTGGCTCTGTAATTTTCCAGCTGACCTGAAATTTCCCCTGACTCCTGACCTCTTTCCTGGAGGAGAGGGGACACCAGCTCAGAGACCCTGGACTCCACCCTAGTCTCTCTGCTTGCCACGAGAGGGTATGCCAAAGACTTTGGAAAGCCATCTCCAGGAGGGTCCCCAGGTAGAGGTGTGTCTGCTCCAGGGAGGCAACGCTGAGACAGTTTTCAAGTTAAACTTGTTTAGTGACTCAGAAGGTAGATTCTTGATTTTTCTCTTCTCAACTCTCTCTGGCACCTGCTCTCTGTTCCCCACTACCACCAGGGCGCCACTATTTCCTCTCCCTTCTCTATCTCCCTTTCTTCTCTGCCTCCTTCTACCTCTCAGCTGGAAGGTGCCCTTAGAAATCATTTGGCTCACCCCCTCTTACAGAGGCCCAGAACATGGAAGGGACTTGGCCCACGTTATACGGCTGTTGACACAGGGCCAGCATTGGAACCCAGTGCCCCAGTGCCTGGTTGGCTAAGGCCAACCAGGTCTTCCCCTTCGAAGGCATCTTCCTGGGACTTTGTAGTATTCAAGTCAACAATCCAACTAAATTGGATTTCTCTCCACCCAATAAAACTCCATGGAGGAAAAAAAGACAAAACTGCCCCCCAACCCCCAACCCCAGGGCCAGCCTGGGACTCCATCAAAGACATTCTGGAACAGGTATCTGTTCGGACCTTGCTCAACAGCTGACAAAGAGAACATTTCATTGGCAATTTATCATCCATTCTTCCCCGTACACACTCTTAAGAAGAAAAAAAATTGGAATTTGGTTTTCAGCGCAGAAAGAGGGATTGAGTTAGCTCTGTCTGCGTCGGAGAATAGCAAAGAGCAGAAGGGTAATTCGGAGAGAATGTGACATCTCCTTTGAAGGGATGGTCCTGGACAGGTAGGGAGCAGCTCTGCCTGGAGATCGGGTGGCCAGAATGGCACGCCTGGGTAATGGTCGCAGCAGACTGGCTCCGAGTAGGGGAGGGGAGGTGCCCCGCGAAGCCGGGTAGCTTTCACCTAAATGTTTGGTGGCGAGCGACAGAGGGGGCGGTGCCCTGCCCTAGGTAATGATAGGGCAGTCTGGGAGCCACGCGGGGGCTGCCCGTCGCGGCGCGGCTACAAAGCCAGCTTCGAGACCTCCCGCTTTCTTCCCCTGGGTACCAGCCCCACCCCTCTATCCCCCCTCGCAGCACCCCCCACCTCCGTCCCGCCTCGCCCCGCCCCCCTCCTGGCAGTCCCAGCGCGCATGCTCTCTCCCCCCGCGGAGTAACCTGGAGATTTAAAAGCCGCCGGCTGGCGCGCGTGGGGGGCAAGGAAGGGGGGGCGGAACCAGCCTGCACGCGCTGGCTCCGGGTGACAGCCGCGCGCCTCGGCCAGGTAGGAGCGCGCCCCCTCCTCTCCCAGGGGTGAGGGTCCCGGCGCGGGAAAGGGAGCAGCAGTGCACGGCCGAGCTCCGCGCTGTCGCGTGTTTTGCGCCCCGCGGGATGGGGCTGCGCCGTGGCCGTCCGGGGCGCTGCGCGCCGAGCCCCGCGCGAATCCCAGAGGAGGGCGCGTCCCACACGCTCTGCCGGGGCGGGTGCCGAGTGCCCGGCGCCTGCACGGGTCCCCGCTGAGCTGTGCTTTCTTCCGCGGAGGGCGGGCAGGCAGGAGGTGCCCGCGCTGTCCCAGGCGGGGCGGCGGTGTGGGCGGGGAGCGGCCCCTCCCCGGAGCCCCGGGCCGGGCCGGACCGGGCCGGGCCGACGGCTGGCGGACCGGCCGCTGGCTCCTGTTGCAGCCTCCCGTGTCAGACTTTTCTTTGGAAAGTTGCGTTTATTTTCTTCTCTTGTCTGGGCTTCACCGGAAAGGGGCAGGATGAGTCACTGCGGCGCGCACAGTCCGGGACTTGGGGGAGCCGGGACGGGAGCCGACGGCCGCGGCGCCGCGGGGTGCTCAGGCCCAGGCCGGCTTTCTTGAGGAAGAGTGAGTTATTAAGACAGGGAAAGGGGACTGAGCCCTCTTGGACTTAGAACTGGGGCGAGCTCTGGGTACAGAGTTGGGACTGGACCGTGTGTGTGTGTGTGTGTGTGTGTGTGTGTGTGTGTGTGTTACTGTGTCCCCTTTTCAGCCTCAGTTTCCCCCTCTGTGGGGAGAGAAAGGCCGCTGTTTTCTCCTCGCCTCCCAGGTCTCAGGTGGGGAAGGACAGAGTTCTGCAAACGGCAAACAGGTGTGATGTGGTGGTACCTAGGCATCCCGTGCAGCTTCTCAGAGCTCTGGGCCTAGGCAGGCTTGCTAGAAAAGCCCCAGGGACCTGCATGCTTTCTCCCTAGTGCGGGTCAGGCCTTCCTGTAGTCTTCCGCTCCCCCCAGGCACTGCAGTCCTGTGAGTTGCTCTTGCCCTTGACCTCTGAATCAGCCTCCATCTTCCTGACAGACACTCTTGACCTGCTCAGCTTTTCCCCACTCCAGGGCGTGTTCCCTATGCTTCCTCTTTTTCCAAGGGGCCAGAGTTGGGGGTAGGGAGGGGTTTGGCATGGTGGGTACCTGGTGAGGACTCGCCCTTCAGCTGTTACACAGACCCGGTCCCGGTGGAGCAGGGACTAAGAATAGCCCAGCTGCTGTCTTGCTGCCCTGGAGTCTGCAGCCGGGCATTGCCAGTTGACCAGGGCCCGCAGTGACCCTTGCTGGGGTCCTGGAACCTTTGCTCAGGGGTGGGGTTGAGGTCCTAGGGGCTTCGGACTACCTTTCCTGAGGCACTTAGCAGATCTCCTTTCAGAGCAGAGACCGCCTTGGTGTAGACTCACCTGCCCGAGGCCTGGGAAACAGGCTGGCCTATTGGGGTGGGAGTGGGAGGGCCCAGGAGGCCCAGGCTAGACGGGAAGCCTGAGGAAACCCATAGAGCAGCATATTGTAGGGGATAAGTGGGACGCAATTTGAGGTCGCAGGCCATTCTGTTGGATCAGTCCCATTCCCTCATTCCTCCCTTATCTCCTCCCACCAGGCCTGTCGTGGAGCCAGGACTCTGTTGTTCTGAAAGTGCTCAGAAAATGCAGCTTGAGTCAGCAGAATGAGTTTGAAGATAAAAATACAGCTGTGGATGAATGTACAGCTGTGGACAGACAGGCCCCAATTTAGTGGGTGTGTGTTAGGGGGAGTTTTCCTATGTATTCATGGAGTGTGTGGTGAACTTCCCCATCCCTCCTGGCTCCCTGAATAACGTTGAAGGAGGAGGAGGAGTAGACAGTGATCCCTGGTGGTCTCCTGAGCCCATTCCAGGCCACTGGGTGGTGGAGGGATAGTGGAGGCCTCTCTCCAGCTCTCCCCTTACCCAGACTGGAGCTCTCAGCCTGGGCAGGGCTGGTCTGAAGATTCAAAGTAAAGTTAACTTGAAGACTTTAAGTACTATCATCTGGACGTCACAGCCTGATAAGTCAACATGGATAAAAACCCAGACTGTCAGAAAGATAGTTTCTTTTTTTAGACGAAGTTTCACTCTTGTTGCCCAGGCTGGAGTGCAATGTCACGATCTCAGCTCACTGCAGCCTCCGCCTCCTGGGTTCAAGTGATTCTCCTCCCTCAGCCTCCCAAGTAGCTGGGATTACAGGCACCCACCACCATGCCTGGCTAATTTTTGTATTTTTAGTAGATACAGGGTTTTACCATGTTGGCCAGGCTTGTCTTGAACTCCTGACCTCAGGTGATCCACCCGCCTCAGCCTCCCAAAGTGCTGGGATTACAGGTGTGAGCCACCGCACCCGGCCAGAAAGAAAGTTTCTATATTGGCTGCTTCACTAGGTGAGCTCCACCAGCTTGGCAAGTTACATAACCTCGTCCAAGCCTCAGTATCCCTGGCTGCAAAATGGGAATGATAATACTTACTGTATAGCTTTGTTAAGTAGATTATAACAGACATAAAATTTATAAACATATAATTACGTTATATATAGTCTAAAAATTATAGCTTTATTAAATATTGTATATAGAATACTAAACTGTGTGTCTGACACATAAGTGCTCAATAAATGTTAGTACCAACTATATATTGTATCGATCATTTGGGACTGAATGGACAGCAGTGCCTAGCCTGGGACTCTCCTCTTGGGCCTTGCTCTTAAAAAACAGAAAACAAAAATCTGCTCTAGACCTTATTTCTTTGGTAGCAAGGTCTCCTGGACTTTGGGGAGTCCGTTGAGAGATTGAGCTTTGGCAAAATGATTTTAATCTGATTTCCTCTTGCACAAGTTATTTAAACTGTTTCAACTTCCTCCTCTGTAAAATGAGGATAATAGTACCTACCTCACAGTATTTCCAGGATTAAATAAGCTGATGTAGGTAAAGCTCTGAGCACAGCAGCTGCTTGTAAAAAGAGCTTGATAAATGTCAGCTGCTGTTATTTGGTGACAATGGAGCCAATCATTGTGGTTTACACTTAGAAACCAGAGTTTCTTAGCAAGGGAATCGGCCCGTAGATAACTATATGTAAGCTACGAAGGACGCATCTGCAGTTGAACTTGTGGTCCTGTGCAAAGATCACAGCAGGACTGGATGTCCGTGTCTCTCCTCTACTACTCTGCTACTGTGTGACTTCTATTTAATTAGTGCAGAAACCCCTGCCCAGCCTACCTTCCCAGAGTGTACCCCTCAGGCTGGAAAAGGGTACCATGAACATGAATGTATATCCTGAGAAGTTAAGAGCCTTCTATGCAAACAGTTATTTGTTGTTATTTTTAGGAAAACTGTATAGGGAGGGTGCCCTGAAGTTGGGATTCTGCTCTGTCCTCCCTCCCCAACCCTTAGGATCTTTTGCACTGTTCTTTGGTGTCCAGAAAAAAACCCAGCCTAGCTTTCTTTGAACAGTTAGTGGCCCTGTTTGCTGGGCAGCAGGGGTGGAGACTGGACCAGCTGGTACCAGGCCCAGTGTCTTGAACACTGATGCCACTCGACTCCCAGCAATAGAGCTGGAGTGTTGAGCTTTGTCCAGTGTATTAAGTGTCCCTGCTTGGGCTGGGGAGGGGGGCAGCTGGTGACAGAGCCATCACGGGATGCTCCTGATCCCTGGCCAGAACTTCCTGTTGAATCCTGTTTTCTACTACATGGTCTGTGTTTTCCCCTCCACGGGAAGAAGTCCACAGTTTTGCCACCAGCCCTGACTGACTTGTGGAATCTCTTGCTTCTGATGTTGGACATGGGCCTGCTTCCCCTGTTGGCCTTGACTTCATTGCCTGTAAAATGGAGATGAGATTCACCTTGCATGGTTATGGTGAGGATTAAGCGTGATGTGCATATTCAGCCAAGCACCTGCACACGCCAGGTGTTCCATAGATGTTTGTTCCTTTCCCCTTCTTTGTTACTTCTGGAGATCACTTTCTGGGGAGTGGGGACCAGCCAGCAAGAAGGGGTTTGGAGGCCACTTCCTGGCGCTGTAGTCCACAGTCCCCCAGTCACCATATCCAGGATAGCAGGATGCCCAGCCAGAGGGGATACCCTCAGGAGCAGCCAGCCCACAACAGCAGTTCTTGTCTTTCCCCTGTGGTCGCTGTGTGCCCCCCTGCCCCCGGCCTCGCTAATCTCAAGTGTACTTTGAGTTGGCAAATAGTGTTCAAGCTAGGAGTGCCTGGCCCATCCCTAGGGATGTGGCAATTTAGATTCCCACTCCTGGCTCCTGTCCTTAGTGAGCGGAGCACCCAGCTAGCTTGAATGTGGCCCTGCCTGGATCCCAGGCACACTGGTAAAGTCACATCCAATGGGAATCCTGATTCAGCCTTACCCATAGGCTTTCTCTTGGGTACCTACTCTTCTCAGGGCCTGTGCTTCCTGCTTTCCAGGAGCTGAAGCACTAGTGGGGAGGATGGCAGTGGGGGAAGGACTGCAAATCCAAGACCCTGAGGACCGTGGGCAGCGTCCAACCCTGGGGGCTGCCTGGTTAGAGCAGTTGAGATTTAGCAGGGAGAGGGGATACTTGACGGCTTGGTTTCCAGGGGGCTGTGGAGGAGGTGTGAGATTGGAGCTGGGCAGGGCTCAGGTGGAGGGGACAGGCAGTCCAGGAAGGGGAAGTAACTGGAGCACGGTGACCACCTTGGAAGCAAAAACAAGCCTAGTGCTGATGAATTCCCTTATTTGGGTGCCCATGGAGGTATGCTGAATAATCTAGGGACACGCAGATAGCCAGCCCAGATCTGAGATCAAAACCCAGTCTCATGATTTTCAGTCCGGTATTGTTTCCAGCACACCTCACTGGGGAGAGACCAAAAGGAGGGGTGGGAGTGATTAGAAGTCCCAGGCTCCAAGGGCCTTGTTTTACAGACATACACCCTTTTCTGCTGTTGGGGCTCAGAAAACAATACCCCAAAGTGAAGGCCTCAGAGGCAAAGTTTCTGTCTGATCTCCTGTCTCTTACCCCTTATTCTCTTCCGAGGCAGGCCAAAGCGAATCCCTCTTTTCCAGGGCAGGTCATAGAAACTAGAAGCCTTCTCCCCAAAGCCAGCCATACAGCCTAAAAATATTACTCTTTCTCCTGGCTTTCTAGGTAAGAACTGGTGATCAAGAAATGATCTGACCTGCCTTGTTTGATAGTAGGTCATAAGGCCCTCATTGCAGAGGGGTCCTACCCCATTCCTGGGAGGAAGAAATCTGGCAACGGAGAGGCCAAGAAGAATCTGGACAGGCCTTGCTGGGCTTCACCACTCAGTCTATTAGCATTAGCTCATACCATTTTTGTCTGGTCACATTTCTGCATCCTGTGTGTGCTTCCTCAAACCTAAGCATAAAAATGGATACTTAGGCTGGGCGCGGTGGCTCACGCCTGTAATCCCAGCACTTTGGGAGGCCGAGTTGGGTGGATCAGCTGAGGTCAGGTGTTCGAGACCAGCCTGGCCAACACAGTGAAACCCCACCTCTACTAAAAATACAAAAATTAGCCTGGCGTGGTGACACACGCCTGTAGTCCCAGCTACTTGGGAGGTGGAGGCAGGACAATTGCTTGAATCCGGGAGGCAGAGGTTGCAGTGAGCTGAGATCGTGCACTGCACACCAGCCTGGGCAACAGAATGAGAGCTAGTCTCAAAAAGAAAAAAGAAAAGATACTTCACCCTGGGTCTTTGGGTTTTCATTTCTAAGGGCTCTTGTGTCATACAAAACTATGATCAAATAAATTTGTATGCTTTTCTCTTTTTTTTTTTTTTTTTTTTTTTTTTGAAACAGCATCAATTTTGGATGGCATCTCGCTCTGTTGCCCAGGCTGGAGTGCAGTCACGCAATCTCAGCTCACTGCAACCTCTGCCTCCCAGGTTCAAGCGATTCACCTGCCTCAACCTCCTGAGTAGCTGGGATTACAGGCACGTGCCACCACACCCAGCTAATTTTTGTATTTTTAGTAGAGATGAGGTTTTACCATGTTGCCCAGGCTGGTCTCAAACTCCTGACCTCAAGTCATACGCCTCCCTCAGCCTCCCAAAGTGCTGGGATTACAGGCGTGAGCCACTGTGCCCAGCCTGTTGTGCTTTTCTCTTGTTACCATATCTTTCGTTATAGAAGTGTCAGTTCTGACCTTTATGATAGGGAGGAAAAAGGGATCTCCCCCACCCCCACCCCTATATTGCGTGGTACCTACCTGCTTATCCTTCAAGGCTAAGCAACATGGCCATTCCCTCTAGGAAGCCCTGGAAGAACTGCATGTGCCCCCCACATTGGGTCCCACCCCCTCACGTGGATTTGTATCTTCACACTTGTGCCACTGTGCCATCTCATTGCACACCGATTGCATTTTATCCCTTTTGCCAAAGGGAGCTGCGATCAGTTGTTTTCTGTGTCCCCAGCATCTTCACAGCAGGCTTATACACAATTGAGGCTCTGTGGTGTTGGGTGTGGGTAGGTGGGTTTCAGTGCTGTCTGACATTCCCTTAGGGGAGGTTAGGTTGCATGCACTGAGGTATACTTCCAAGGGTCAGCAAGCTTGGGATCTTTAAATCAGAAAATGAGTTTCTTTGAGAGCCTACCCTTTCCTTGCTCACCACTGAGAGTGACTGTTTTTGAGAACACACTTGCAGAGTACTGAGTCTGACTTGGAGCCCTCTCTTTATAAATGGGACTGATCACAGACTCTAGGACTCAGATCTAATAAAGCCTTACAGGCCAATGAGTTTGAAACCCTAGAGGTGTGGGACATGGCAGAGTTGGAACCAGCACCATGGTCTGACTCTTGGTGCAGGGCACTGCCCATCTGTAGGTTTGCATAGATCTTTAGTCTCCTGGCCTCTTTCCTGTATACCTCACCTCCTAAGGGAGGCCAGGCTAAAGGGAAGACTAGGATTGGCTGTACATGGACAGGGAGAGCTGTCTAGCCTGGCTGACTGGCAGAGTTCAAGTTCAGTAGGAGGAAAGCCATTTAGGCTTCTCTTTTCAGTGGCTGTACGAAAAGGCAGGATGGGGGGAAGGAATTTCCGAGTGGCCTGGACACTGTGCCAAGCTCCCTCTTCCCCCTCCATGTTCATATTCCCCTACCTTGGGCCAAGGAATTTCTTGGTACTGCTGCCCCACCTTGTAGGGAAGCATTTATTGTGGCCCAAGAAGAGAATTCAGTTACTAATTTCTGCCAGGAACAGAGTCCAACTCTGGGAAGGACTAGGGAAGAGGGCAGTTCTACCCCCAGATGTCCTGGTTATTCGGCTTAGTTTCAGGTGACCGCTGACCCTTGGCACTGTGTTGGTACCTGAGAGTGTGTGGGCAGGTGAAGGATGGGGTAAGTGCGGCTGGGGTGTCCTTCTCCACCTCATTCCCCTTGACTCATTGGTAGGAGGCCATGAAAGTCCAAATACAAAGTAGGGATTTTATATTCCTATTTCACAAGGGTGAACATGAATCCCTTCCTGAATGTCATGTAGCCTCATCAGTGAGCCCTTAGGGGGTACCTGCCCGTGAAGAAGCAACTGCCGGGGGTAGGGGGTGCATGTGAGATCACCTGGTTGCACAGATGTAAAGAACCTTCGGCATTATCCAGATTAGCTCTCATTTTACAGGTGTAGAAACTGAGTCCCAGAGAGGTGAGATGGCCTGTCTAGGCTACACAGCTCTTAAAAAAAGTGGCTGAAACAGGACTGCCCTCTCCTGGCTCCCAGTTCAGAGCACCTTCCAGCATTTTCAAATGGTTCGAATTTTCTGCTCAACCACTGTTTATTTGTGCAACCTTGGGCATGTTACGTTCTGAGACTGAGCTGTTCATCTCGAATATGAATATTAAACACCTACCTTGGATTTGGAGCGTATGAATTGTATGAGTTATTAGAGAGAAGGTACAATATATCAAGTACCTGGCACACGCTAGACGCCTCTGAGGCAGTTAGTAGGGGTCGGCCACTGTGTTCATTTTCCCTGTGGATGGAAATCGTGCTGTCTCATAACTATGGGATCTTTGTCCCACCTTCTACCTCCCTTCTCAGCCTTCCTCCAGCAGGCAGGTCTGCTGCAGTGACCTCTCCTCACCTGTTGGGGCCAGCACCTGGGGAGGCAGTTGCATTCTTGGCATTCCTCTTGCTGCTAGGGGCTGAAAGAGGCGCTGGTGTGGTGGGGGAGGCACGTGGGTGAGGGGGGGGAATGGAAACCGAGAAGAAAGTGTACTTGGTCTCCCCTAACCACAGCCGCTCCTGTTTGGGAATGAGAAAGCCCTTCCTCCACTGAGGAGGCGACCAAAGAAGTGGCCGCCAGGAACTTTCATATCCTGTATCTCAAACACACTCCACATCTATGAAGTTGGTGGTATTAATCTAAGTTTCTGTGCCTGTAAAATGGGTATACTAATTGTACCCACCTCATCGGATGGTTGGAAGATCAAGACGCACGGCAGAGTGCCTAGTATGTATTATAACCTCAATGTTGGCTGCTATTGTGCGTTTTCTTTTCTGTTTTGTGTGCGTGTTTGTGGTTTTTTGTTTGTTTGAGACAGAGTCACCCTGTTGCCCAGGGTGGAGTGCAGTGTGGCATGATCTCGGTTCACTGCAACCTTGACCTCCCGGTTTCAAGCAATTCTCATGCCTCAGCCTCCCGAGTAGCTGGGATTACAGGTATGTGCCGCTATGTCTGGGCCTGGCTAATTTTTGTATTTTTAGTAGAGACGGGGTTTCACCATTTTGGCCAGGCTGGTGTCAAACTTCTTGACCTCAGGTAATCTGCCTGCCTCGGCCTCCCAAAGTGCTGGGATTACAGGCGTGAGCCACCGTGCCCGGCCTGCTGTTGTTCATTGTGGATGAGGAAACTGAGGCATGGGAAGGTCAAGTTACAGGCTCATGCAATTATAATAAGTGGTGGAGCTGGCATGCAAACCCAGGTCAGGCAGACACCCAAACCCAGGTCAGCCTGCAGAGTCTGCCAGGGTTTGGGGACGTCAGGATTCAGAGGGTTGTGGTCCCTCGGGTGGAAGAGAGCTCCAGGTTGAAGAGCACTGCTGGTCCTGGTTTGGAGGGCATGCCCAGTGTGACCTTGGGTTGCAGCTGTTCTCAGAAACTAAGTGTGATTGGGAGGCCCAGGTGCCTGGAGTCAGAATGTGTGTCTGTATTGACTGTCACCATGGGATTGCCAGGTGACCCTTGGGAGAGTCCCCATGCTTCAGCCCTAGCTTAGGCTGTCCAGGACTGACTCTGGCCAAGGTGAGGGTCAGCCAGCCCCAGAATCCCTGTCACTGGGTAGGAGAGGGGAGGGGAGGGCAGTGCTGGCTCCAGGGACTGCCCCTCTGTCCCTTCCCCTCCCCTTCCCCCAATCTCCTCTGGCATTTGTTTCCTTTCCAAAGCTGGACTGGAGCTCTCAGACAGGGCAACAAAAGCCACTCTCCACCGCGCCACAGCCACCTGTTGGGTTTTCACACATTGGGGGTGAGTGGGGGGAGGGAGCCATTGCCCTTTTCCCAGTGTCTGTGGTGTGCCCCCTCTGCCCCCCTAGGGCCTGGGATTCTCTTTGCTGCCCGAAGTGACGGGCTCAGGAGCCGGAGGGGGTGGGGGCCAGCAGCAGCTGGAAGGGGAATTGAGTGGGAAGGGGCCGGCGCTGGCAGCCGGAGAGAGTTTGATGGATTACTCTGCAGGCCGAGAGGTTTCTCCCTAATCCCCCTTTGTGTCCCGGCCTGCAGCCCCCTCACCCTCTCTGACAAGCTGCTAAGCAGAAGGCTTCCAGTAACGGTGAAGAAAAGGCAGCTCAGCAGGGCGAACTCTAAATCCCTGGCCTCCAGGCCCTGGGGGAGGCAGGCACCAGGGAGCAAGTCCGGGATGGGGCTGGGGTCCCCCGTCCCACTGCCGGCCCTTATTCTTTCTTAGGAGTCCCTGAGGTGGGGGGGCTTCATTCTGAGTGGGGTCCTCAGGTTCCCCTGGGAGCCCTGTGAAGTCGTGGGCCTCCGCTTTTTCTGCAAATCACTGTTTTTTTCTAGGGCAAGACTGGGGAAAGCAGAGACCCTCACTGCTTTGGAAATATTTGGCCCCAGAGAATCAAAGACTGAGTGGGTTGGGAGTCACCAAAGCCGTGGTTGTCTAATGCCGTGTCCCTCCCACCATCTCCCCAGCAGCCCAAGCACATGGCACCCCTCACAAAGGGGATCTGTCATGATGGGGAGCGCATTGTCTCACAAGAATGCTCATTTCCAGGTCTCCTGGCTAGTGCAGGCTCTTTCTGGGGTGTCCCCAAGGCTCCCGTGGAGCTGCCGTGAGGGTGGGGCTCGTGGGGAGTGCAGTCAGTGTGCCAGGTTTCATTAGGTAAGGTGACAGCATTGGTCCCTTGGGACTGGGGCGAGGAGGGGGTGGGTAATGGGGAGGAGGGCTGGGGAACCCCCAGACCTGAGAGGTCCACTCCCTGCCCCCAACCTAGAGGACCCTGGAGAGCTCAGTTTGGAGCAAGGTGCTGGGGTTGCCCCTTCTCTGCCATCTCACTGACCTGGGGCAGGGCAGCCTTGGTGGGGTGTGTGTCCGGGAGGTTGGCCCAGGGTGACCCCACCCGCTTTCCTCAGCTGAGTCATTATTCCTCGTGCCTCACCAGCCCCCGATTTCCCCTTCTGTGGGGAGGGCTGCGGGGTGGCTGTGAAGGGGAGAGGAGCCGCTTCTGAGGAGCCTGGGAGAAAGCAGAGCGTCTTTGTGAGTGTGCAGGGAACACGCAGGGTCGCTGAGCCTGCGGGGTCAGGGTGGGGGCTACAGCCGTTTGATGTGCCTGGGTGGGGTTTGACGCTGGCCTGCATAAAGAAGCCTTAGAATTGCTGCATGACACAGGCCCGGGGTGGGGGCTGCCCCCAGCCTGGGCTTCCACGGGCCTCTGTCTGTCAGTAGAGGGAATCTGCTCCCCCAGCTCCACCTCAGCCATGCGGGGTGGCAGAAGCCCCTTTGAAAGCCCTCAAAGACCTCTTTATACATCCCCCTCTGACCCTCCCTTCCCTTAGGGAGCTACCAGGGAGTGGGCTCGGGTCAGCTTTCCTCCTTCTCTGCCACTCTGTCTTCTGTATTTTGGACAAAGTTCAGGCCAAGTTTGTTCCTGTTGCTCAGTTTCATTTCCCCCAAAACTCCCTTTTTGGGGTCTGGTCTGAAGTGGGGGCTTTCCAGTCCAGGAGGGTTTATCTGAGCCACTCACCACCTTTGAGCCCATAGGAGCTGCTCCCTCTGGAGTTGGGCCTGCAAAGTCCTCGGTGTGTGGCGAGCACGTGGGAGGAGGAGGACTTAAGCCCTCACCCTTGCTTCTACTGCCACCCCTTGCTCTTAGCCATTCATTCATTAGGTAAACATTTCCCGGCCCCTTTTCTTGCTGGGGTGGGAGCCAGCCCTGGGGGTGTCACATATTGGGATGCATAGGGGCATGTATCTCCCAGTACCTGGAGGGGTGCAGCGGGGATCCAGGTTCACTGACCTTGCCCACGGCCCTTGGTCTCTCTGGGTTTTGATTCTTTTCCCCCAAGGATGAGGAAGGATGACCTGGGGCAGAGCTCCAGAAAGGTTCCCAGAGGCCTTAGGTTTCCTCCAGCTTTCTTGCTGTCTTGGCATTGCTGGGCCCAGAGAGGAGGGGAGATGTTTGGAACTTGAGAGGGACTTGTCCTAGAAGGCTGCCTGTTCCTTGCGTTTCTGAGAGGTCAGCCCCTCTACTTCCTTCCTCTTCCTGCCCACTCCTTGCCAGGTGAACGCTCTGAGGCTGGCTCTTCTGGTTGATCTTGTCTTTGCCAAAGTGTTCCAGGAGCAGTAGGGCAGGAGGATTTTAGAAGCATCTCCAAGACTGGAGGGTGTAAGGGAGAATTGGACCCTGTCCCCAGGAGGACAGGGGAGTTCCGCAGACTTGGGGCAGGAGGCGGGGTTCCAACACTGATCTGTCACTTGCAAGCTTTGGCAAGAAGCTTGCCCTGAGGCTGCTGATGGGAGTGGTGGCCAGAAAAGTGGTACTGAAAGACTTCTTGTTCTCTGACCTCCCTGAGCCTGACAACTGAGAAAGGCTGGGCTCCTCCGTTTGTGCTCCAGGGAAGGCGGCCCTGGAGCGGGGATGGCGAGCAGCTGGACTTAGTGCTCAGGAGTCCTCTGTGGTCTCCTTAGCCCGAGGACCCTGGAGGAGGGATGAAATGACAGGGACTGGGGCACTGGAAAGCATGCAAGGATAAGAAAAGGGGGCTTTGGAGGGTAGTGTGTGCTTATGGGCTTGGAACTTCTCAGGCAATTCCGGGCTGGGAAGAGTAAAGTCTGGGGGTATCAAGAGGACTCTGGACCCGCTGGGCAGAGTAGAACTCAAACAAGGGAGGACGGACTCTGCCACCAAAGAATACAGGGGTGCTTGAAGCCTGCACCCTTCCTAGTCAAATCCTTTCCCCACCTGGCCCAACCCCAAGTTACCAGGTAAAGAATCTCTGGGTGGGGATGGGGGGCGTTGGAGAAAGGCACCCCAGGAACTGGGAGGCTACTAATGAGCTATCTGGGCTGTAGGAGGATGGTGGGGGGCACTCTTCTCTTTACCTCTTTCTTTTTGTCTTTTTCCCATGTGGGCTAAGAAGGATCCTGCTAATTCCTGGGGGGCCTGGGAACTTGATTAAGGGAGGGGCAAGGCAGGTGGGGTGATTAATGGTTGCTGGACAGCTGTGGTTTATTTTTATTTTTTTATTTTTTAGAGACCAGGTCTCACTCTGTTGCCCAGGCTGGAGAACACTGGCACGATCATAGCTCACTTGCAGCCTCGAACTCCTGGACTCAGGAGATCCTCCCACCTCAGCCTCCTGAGTAGCTGGGATTATAGGTGCATGCCACCATGCCCAGCTAATTTTTATTTATTTATTTTTTATCTTATGTATTTATTTTTATTTGAGATGGAGTTTCGCACTGTCATGGGGCTGGAGTGCAGTGGCACAATCTCGGCTCACTGCAACCTCCGCCTCCCAGGTTCAAGCAATTCTCCTCCTTCAGCCTCCCGAGTAGCTGGGATTGTAGGCGCACGCCACCATGCCCAGCTAATTTTTGTATTTTTAGTAGAGATGGGGTTTCACCACGTTGGCCGGGCTGGTCTCGAACCTCCTGACCTCAGGTAATTTGCCTGCTTTGGCCTCCCAAAGTGCTGGGATTACAGGCATGAGCCACTGTACCTGGCCTATTTTATTTTTATTTTTGTAGAAACAGGGTCTTTCTATGTTGCCCAGGCTGTTCTTAAGCTCCTGCCCTCAAGCCATCATCCCACTCCAGCCTCCCAAAGTGCTGAGATTACAGATGTGAGCCACTGTGCCTGGCCTGCAATTTATTTTAAACAATAGGGAGCAGCCAGGACTTAGAGAATGGGTGCAGGTTATAGGCGAGGCTGGGTCTAACAAAGTCTCTGTTTGCTCAGGGAGGACCTGGTCTCCTGAAAACCCAGAGCAGGTTAGCATTCAGGGCCCTCCCAGAACAAGGGTGGGGAGTGGAATGGGCTGGAAGCCTTTGGCCGCAGAACCCCTCCCTTTAGGCTGGATAGCACTGCCTCTTGGTCTCTGTGCTGTCTCCTGCTTTCCTTCTTGGGGGTACTGTGGAAATGCAGCAATGAGATGCTCAAGTTGAACCTATGACAGCTCAGCTAAGACTGAGGTCTGGCCTTCCACCTTCCTTTTGGAGACAGTATGGGTCAGTATTTTACACCCCTTCTCATGCCACCTCCGTAGGAGGCCGTGTGCCCCATCCCAAAGGGTGAGTCTGAGCAGGATTTAGGGGAGGAGGCTGCTGGTTGCCCAGCCTTATCTCAATTCCCTTCCTTCATGATCTGCCAGCTGCAAAGCCCCTGAAGGTGGTGGTGGAGTGAACAGACCTTACCCAGGACTGATAGCCATCTGATGTTTTTTTAGGCAGTGTCTCCCTCTGTCACCCAGACTGGAGGCAGTGGTCCAATCACTGCGCGCTGCACCCTTGACCTCCCAGGCTCAAGCAATCCTCCCATCTCAGCCTCTTAAGTAGCTGGGACCACAGGTGCATACTACCACGCCTGGATAATTTTTAAATTTTTTGTAGAGAGGGGGTCTCGCTGTGTTGCCCAGGCTGGTCTCAAACTCCCAGGCTGAAGTGATCCTCCTGCCTTGGCCTCTTGAAGTTCTGGGATTATAGGCATGAGCCACCACACTCAGTCCTGGCTGATTTCTCTGTGGCACAGCTCAGAGCACCCACAACACGCTTTGTAATATGCAAGGCCCCATGGGGTTTAGTATTGTGTGAAAAGATAAGATAAGTTGAAATGCCTTTTATAATGAGGTGCTGAGATTGGCAGAGGGCATGAGTAGGGGCTGGGGGTGGTGGAGGCACCTGCCACCATGCCTGGCTAATTTTTGTATTTTTAGCAGAGATGGGGTTTCACCATGTTGGCCAGGCTGGTCTTGAACTCCTGACCTCAAGTGATCCGCCTGCCTTGGCCTCCCAAAGTCCTGGGATTACAAGCATGAGCCACCGCACCCAGCTTTTCATAGTCACTTCTAAGCAGAGGCTTAGATACTGCAATGGCTGTATTGTCGGGAAGCAAGACTTGGAGACCGCTTGCTTGGCGGGGGAGGTACAGGATGGTTCTTTCTGCACAGGAGGCAGGGCTAGCAGGAAGGGGTGTGGGACTTCTCTGCTGAAAATTGAAAAGAGCACCGAAAAATTCCTTTCTCTGCCATTTAAGAGCACAGAAAGGCTGCCCTGGAAGTGGCTGGGCATCCTGTCAGCTTGGGGGAGTCACTGGTATCATTACAGGTATTGCCAGGTGGTGTGGTTTCATGCCCCTGTGAGCTAGAACCTGGGGACGGCTCCACTCTCCCATGACAGTTGGACGGCCATGTGAGGGATTGTTTCTTCCCCTTGAACGTTGAACTCAGGGAGAAACTCAAGGGAGAGATTTTCAGGCCTAGGCTCACCCCAGGGAGCCTTCTGTAAGTTAAAACCCAACCCAACAAAACAGCCTCTCCTCCCTTTCCCCTTCATCCTGGTCTTTGGGGTTAGGGGTTGTGGTGCAGTGTGGCTCATGGCCAAGCAATGCAGAATAGGAAGTGTTACTCTTAACAAAGGGGAATTGAACACCCCAGGTTTGGGGAGTAGAAAGACAAAAGCAAACAAACCAGGCCTGGCAGAGGGTCTCCAGGGGCACCTTGATAGCTGGGCAACTAAAAATTCAGTTGGTTTGATTGCTCCCTCCCGCTCCCCAATACTAACAGGGAAGGGAAATTGTAGATTTTTCAAAACAGAGAATAACCAACATCTGTTTGGCTCTGGAGTGTGCTGAGGTTTAAAAAATCATATTTACCTTATTAATTATGTCAGCCGTAGGCTAATATTAACATGCATTTCCTGACTGGGCAGAAGGGGGTGGCACCTCGGTGACAGGGCCAGTCGCCAGCCTGTGAATGATCAGGATCCAGACAATTTAGAGCAAATCGTGGAGACCTGGCTCCCAGGACTTAACACCCCGTGTGCTTGTGATTGCCCCGCCCTTCTAGGATCTGAGTGATGAGACGTGTCCCCACTGAGGTGCCCCACAGCAGCAGGTGTTGAGCATGGGCTGAGAAGCTGGACCGGCACCAAAGGGCTGGCAGAAATGGGCGCCTGGCTGATTCCTAGGCAGTTGGCGGCAGCAAGGAGGAGAGGCCGCAGCTTCTGGAGCAGAGCCGAGACGAAGCAGTTCTGGAGTGCCTGAACGGCCCCCTGAGCCCTACCCGCCTGGCCCACTATGGTCCAGAGGCTGTGGGTGAGCCGCCTGCTGCGGCACCGGAAAGCCCAGCTCTTGCTGGTCAACCTGCTAACCTTTGGCCTGGAGGTGTGTTTGGCCGCAGGCATCACCTATGTGCCGCCTCTGCTGCTGGAAGTGGGGGTAGAGGAGAAGTTCATGACCATGGTGCTGGGTGAGTCACTACATCCTCCTTCCTTCCTGTTCCAGATACATGCCACCTGGCATGTGGGACAGGAGTACCTCTGCCCTGGGAGCTGCTTGGAGGGAGAGGTGGTCTGCTGGGAAGGCATTGCTGGGCAGGAGGGTGACCCTGGGCTGAGGGGGCACACCAAGAGAAAGAAGAGAATACCAAGGACATACCCCAGTCACCTCTGGATCCCTGGTCCTGCACAGAGCCTGGCTCATAGGAGACACTGGAGAAATGCTCCTAACCTTTGGCTAGCCCTTTTATAATTTATAGCGATTATCTCATTTAATGCTTACAACCACCATTTGAGGTGATCCATTTTACAGAGAAGGAAGCAGAGGCTTTTAAGAGGTTAGGTAAGTCTTAGCCAAAGCCAAATAGCAGCTGAACAGTAGAGCTGGGACTCCATCAAGGTCTCCCAGCCGGAGCTTGCTCCTACCCCTAGGACAAGGGGTGGACTCCTGACTCTGCAGATAAATTCTACAAAAGCCACAGAAGGCAAGTAGTAACCATTGTGTGACAACCCCTCACCCCCAGGAAGAGGGGCCCCTGTGAGGATTGCAGGCTCTGGAGTCACACTGCTTGTTGAAACGCTGCCTCTTACCCTCCCTAGGTCTGCGCCTTTGAATAAGTATCACTTCTTAGTTGCTCCATGCCTCAGTTTGTCCATCTGAAAATGGGGGCATCTGTAATGCCTGTGTTATGAGGAGTAAATTACAGCATCCCTGTGAAGACGTAGCACAGTGTCGAGTACGGAATGTTATTTCCATCCTTCTCACGGAGCTTGGTTCCCCTTCCCCTTGCCCTTTACTTGTCCCAGCCATTGACTCATACTACTTCCCTTCTTGCAGGCATTGGTCCAGTGCTGGGCCTGGTCTGTGTCCCGCTCCTAGGCTCAGCCAGTGACCACTGGCGTGGACGCTATGGCCGCCGCCGGCCCTTCATCTGGGCACTGTCCTTGGGCATCCTGCTGAGCCTCTTTCTCATCCCAAGGGCCGGCTGGCTAGCAGGGCTGCTGTGCCCGGATCCCAGGCCCCTGGAGCTGGCACTGCTCATCCTGGGCGTGGGGCTGCTGGACTTCTGTGGCCAGGTGTGCTTCACTCCACTGGAGGCCCTGCTCTCTGACCTCTTCCGGGACCCGGACCACTGTCGCCAGGCCTACTCTGTCTATGCCTTCATGATCAGTCTTGGGGGCTGCCTGGGCTACCTCCTGCCTGCCATTGACTGGGACACCAGTGCCCTGGCCCCCTACCTGGGCACCCAGGAGGAGTGCCTCTTTGGCCTGCTCACCCTCATCTTCCTCACCTGCGTAGCAGCCACACTGCTGGTGGCTGAGGAGGCAGCGCTGGGCCCCACCGAGCCAGCAGAAGGGCTGTCGGCCCCCTCCTTGTCGCCCCACTGCTGTCCATGCCGGGCCCGCTTGGCTTTCCGGAACCTGGGCGCCCTGCTTCCCCGGCTGCACCAGCTGTGCTGCCGCATGCCCCGCACCCTGCGCCGGCTCTTCGTGGCTGAGCTGTGCAGCTGGATGGCACTCATGACCTTCACGCTGTTTTACACGGATTTCGTGGGCGAGGGGCTGTACCAGGGCGTGCCCAGAGCTGAGCCGGGCACCGAGGCCCGGAGACACTATGATGAAGGTAAGGCCTTGGCAGCCAGCAGAGGCTGGTGTGGGAGCCGCCCACCAGAGACGACACTCGGGGCTGTGTCTGGGCTGGTGCCTCTCCATCCTGGCCCCGACTTCTCTGTCAGGAAAGTGGGGATGGACCCCATCTGCATACACGGCTTCTCATGGGTGTGGAACATCTCTGCTTGCGGTTTCAGGAAGGCCTCTGGCTGCTCTAGGAGTCTGATCAGAGTCGTTGCCCCAGTTTGACAGAAGGAAAGGCGGAGCTTATTCAAAGTCTAGAGGGAGTGGAGGAGTTAAGGCTGGATTTCAGATCTGCCTGGTTCCAGCCGCAGTGTGCCCTCTGCTCCCCCAACGACTTTCCAAATAATCTCACCAGCGCCTTCCAGCTCAGGCGTCCTAGAAGCGTCTTGAAGCCTATGGCCAGCTGTCTTTGTGTTCCCTCTCACCCGCCTGTCCTCACAGCTGAGACTCCCAGGAAACCTTCAGACTACCTTCCTCTGCCTTCAGCAAGGGGCGTTGCCCACATTCTCTGAGGGTCAGTGGAAGAACCTAGACTCCCATTGCTAGAGGTAGAAAGGGGAAGGGTGCTGGGGAGCAGGGCTGGTCCACAGCAGGTCTCGTGCAGCAGGTACCTGTGGTTCCGCCTTCTCATCTCCCTGAGACTGCTCCGACCCTTCCCTCCCAGGCTCTGTCTGATGGCCCCTCTCCCTCTGCAGGCGTTCGGATGGGCAGCCTGGGGCTGTTCCTGCAGTGCGCCATCTCCCTGGTCTTCTCTCTGGTCATGGACCGGCTGGTGCAGCGATTCGGCACTCGAGCAGTCTATTTGGCCAGTGTGGCAGCTTTCCCTGTGGCTGCCGGTGCCACATGCCTGTCCCACAGTGTGGCCGTGGTGACAGCTTCAGCCGCCCTCACCGGGTTCACCTTCTCAGCCCTGCAGATCCTGCCCTACACACTGGCCTCCCTCTACCACCGGGAGAAGCAGGTACTCATTGGCCAGTGGGTGGAGTCAGGGTGGGAGGGGTGGTCTGGGTTTTTGGGAGGCCAACTAGCTCAGAACCTGGTATCTGGCAAGCAACTTTGGAGAATGCTTCTTTGAATCAGAGAAGAAGCTTATCCTAGCCCCAGGGCCAGAGGCTTGGGCTGCAGAACAGTGTAGATTAGATTCTGGGAATGACTTCCTGGGGTCAGGACTGTGTAGCACTTGAATGGATGATTGCAGGAAATGCAAAATACGATAGTGGGAATCCCGAAGGGTCAGGCCAGCAGGAGCCCTAGGCTTCTAGGCTGGTTGTTCTATGGAGAGGCAGGGCGCTGAATCAGATGACCCCTGGGCCATTCAGCCTCAGCAGACGGGAGTGGGAATGGTCCAGCCTTAGCAACACCTTTCTTCAGGGAGCAGCAACCTGACTTAGCCTGTATCCTACTCTGGTCTCTGAGATGGGGCAGGCTCCTTCCTACCCCCTTTCTTTCTGGCTTATTTTTCTTTTCTGTCTAATTCCCTTTTCTTTTCCTGCATCCCTCCTTTGCCTCCTTCCCTTTCTCCTTCCCCTTCCCCTTCCCCTGTGGCAGATATCTGAGCTTGACACCTGACCCACTCACTTGGGCACTGTGTAAGTTGTGGGGACCTCCTTCTTGGTTGGCCCTACACTAACCAGCCCCTCCAGGGGCCCCTTTCCTTGGGAAGCCACCTAACCCAGGTAGTGTGGTCATCCTTGTCCCCTCCACTGACCTCACTGAGCTACAAACCTGGGTGCTGGACTCTGCCTTGAGGGGCATGAAGTTGGGGTGTCCCAAGGGAGGAGGAGATGCAGGACTGCTCTCATAGAGCTCTCAGACTGTAGGGAAGACCTGCCCCTGCGTCTCGTAGCACTTGAGGAGAGGAGTAGGTAAGTTCGTAGCTGAGAGGCTGGTTAACTGAGTAGGTAGCTGCAGGGGTGAGAGGTATGGAGGGGAGGGGCTAAGGTTTTGGTTGGGGGAGCCTGGTCCCTGAGACCCCTGTTAGCCCACTGATAACCTTCTTCAGCCTTCACTCTTCTGCTTGCCTGGGCTGGGGGCAGGGGGCTGGCATCAGCGGCCAGGCCTGAGTATGTGCTGTCGTGCCAGGGAACGTTCTGGGGCTAGCCATCTTCTCCAGATGGAGGAGCATGTCTGTCCTCGGACCACTCCAGACTCCAACCTCAGCGGACATTCCTGGGGTGGCAGGCAGGGAGGAGAAGTCCTGGGAGGCCCCTTCCTAACAGCAGCTGATGGCAGACTTGGCACTGCACGCTGTCTGCCTGTTCCTTTGCCCACTTGTTGAGCTGCATGGTGAGCCGTGGGCTTCCCTGGTGTCAGGTTTGAGCTCTGCCATGGCTCCCACCTCGCAAATGCAGCCAACTCAACTCTTCTGGCATGGGGACAATGTTGGATAAGACCTGGCCTTGTCCTTAAATAGGAGGCTCTGGGCCATCAAGGGCAGGGGTTGGGGGGATGGTGGTCGACCAGTCACTCTGATCTAAGTCAGACAGCAGGAAGGAAGTGAGAAGCCTTCAACATTAGCACAGCTGGGGCTGGGGGAGGTGGGAAGAGGGACATTCCTCCTGCTTGGGGTCTACTGGATTCTCCCTGCCCCAAGGCTGGGGACAAGGGAGCTCATGGCAGGGCAGCTACCCTAGTGGCATCTGGGACCCCAGAGAGGCAGAGCTTCTCTGCACCGGGCAATGAGGATTTCCAGATGTCGGAGTGGAGGGCAGGCAGGAAGGAAGGTTAGGAGAGCCTGCGTGGGGTTTGGGCCATCAGGGGCCCTGCCTTGGCTTTTGTTCCTCTGTTCTGTGCATCTCTTACCACCGTCTTCATTCCCCCTGTGTCTTTTCCTTACCTTGGAGCTCTGTTCTCTCTGATCTGTGATATTGAGTTTGTCTGCCTCTTACCTGTTCTAAGAGGCTAGAGGAGACCTAGACTTCTGGGTTCACATTTGTCCCCGCCCTACCCCGTTACCCTTCTCCCACTCCTGAGGAAGGGTCCTGGTTAGACTTGGACCAAGTAGGGTCTCCATCTTCTCTCCTGCTCCTGATTCTCATGAAGTCCCATTGCCCCTGGGATGGAGGCAAGGGTCTGTTCTCACAGCTGGGGTGGTGCCAGTGCTGGGTACACACCTGTCCTCTTCCCCTTTTCTTCACCCCTCTGCCTTAGGTGTTCCTGCCCAAATACCGAGGGGACACTGGAGGTGCTAGCAGTGAGGACAGCCTGATGACCAGCTTCCTGCCAGGCCCTAAGCCTGGAGCTCCCTTCCCTAATGGACACGTGGGTGCTGGAGGCAGTGGCCTGCTCCCACCTCCACCCGCGCTCTGCGGGGCCTCTGCCTGTGATGTCTCCGTACGTGTGGTGGTGGGTGAGCCCACCGAGGCCAGGGTGGTTCCGGGCCGGGGCATCTGCCTGGACCTCGCCATCCTGGATAGTGCCTTCCTGCTGTCCCAGGTGGCCCCATCCCTGTTTATGGGCTCCATTGTCCAGCTCAGCCAGT
Source organism: Homo sapiens (assembly GCF_000001405.40). NCBI lineage: Eukaryota > Metazoa > Chordata > Mammalia > Primates > Hominidae > Homo > Homo sapiens. The sequence goes on along the minus strand of NC_000001.11, from coordinate 205,659,340 downwards.
CTGTCACTGCCTATATGGTGTCTGCCGCAGGCCTGGGTCTGGTCGCCATTTACTTTGCTACACAGGTAGTATTTGACAAGAGCGACTTGGCCAAATACTCAGCGTAGAAAACTTCCAGCACATTGGGGTGGAGGGCCTGCCTCACTGGGTCCCAGCTCCCCGCTCCTGTTAGCCCCATGGGGCTGCCGGGCTGGCCGCCAGTTTCTGTTGCTGCCAAAGTAATGTGGCTCTCTGCTGCCACCCTGTGCTGCTGAGGTGCGTAGCTGCACAGCTGGGGGCTGGGGCGTCCCTCTCCTCTCTCCCCAGTCTCTAGGGCTGCCTGACTGGAGGCCTTCCAAGGGGGTTTCAGTCTGGACTTATACAGGGAGGCCAGAAGGGCTCCATGCACTGGAATGCGGGGACTCTGCAGGTGGATTACCCAGGCTCAGGGTTAACAGCTAGCCTCCTAGTTGAGACACACCTAGAGAAGGGTTTTTGGGAGCTGAATAAACTCAGTCACCTGGTTTCCCATCTCTAAGCCCCTTAACCTGCAGCTTCGTTTAATGTAGCTCTTGCATGGGAGTTTCTAGGATGAAACACTCCTCCATGGGATTTGAACATATGAAAGTTATTTGTAGGGGAAGAGTCCTGAGGGGCAACACACAAGAACCAGGTCCCCTCAGCCCACAGCACTGTCTTTTTGCTGATCCACCCCCCTCTTACCTTTTATCAGGATGTGGCCTGTTGGTCCTTCTGTTGCCATCACAGAGACACAGGCATTTAAATATTTAACTTATTTATTTAACAAAGTAGAAGGGAATCCATTGCTAGCTTTTCTGTGTTGGTGTCTAATATTTGGGTAGGGTGGGGGATCCCCAACAATCAGGTCCCCTGAGATAGCTGGTCATTGGGCTGATCATTGCCAGAATCTTCTTCTCCTGGGGTCTGGCCCCCCAAAATGCCTAACCCAGGACCTTGGAAATTCTACTCATCCCAAATGATAATTCCAAATGCTGTTACCCAAGGTTAGGGTGTTGAAGGAAGGTAGAGGGTGGGGCTTCAGGTCTCAACGGCTTCCCTAACCACCCCTCTTCTCTTGGCCCAGCCTGGTTCCCCCCACTTCCACTCCCCTCTACTCTCTCTAGGACTGGGCTGATGAAGGCACTGCCCAAAATTTCCCCTACCCCCAACTTTCCCCTACCCCCAACTTTCCCCACCAGCTCCACAACCCTGTTTGGAGCTACTGCAGGACCAGAAGCACAAAGTGCGGTTTCCCAAGCCTTTGTCCATCTCAGCCCCCAGAGTATATCTGTGCTTGGGGAATCTCACACAGAAACTCAGGAGCACCCCCTGCCTGAGCTAAGGGAGGTCTTATCTCTCAGGGGGGGTTTAAGTGCCGTTTGCAATAATGTCGTCTTATTTATTTAGCGGGGTGAATATTTTATACTGTAAGTGAGCAATCAGAGTATAATGTTTATGGTGACAAAATTAAAGGCTTTCTTATATGTTTATTGGCATGTGTTTCTTTTAGGAGGGGGAAAGACCTGATCTTTCTACAACATTCTTAACTCTCAGTTCAGGGAGCCCTTTGGCTTTTGACAGCTTCACTTCCCAGTGGCCACCAGCAGGTGGAGGCATAGACCAGCACTCTTTGTGTCAATTGCCAATTGTGGGGGGTTGTGCTGCACCTTGGACTGGGGGGTTTCGGAGTTGGGGAGAGGGGGTCAGAAAGAGTCTGAAGTGTGGGGCAATGGTGGCATTTTCCTTCTAAAAGACCCCTGAGTAGGGATGGGCATGATGACTCACGCCTGTAATCCCAGCACTTTGGGAGGCTGAGGCAGGTGGATCACTTGAGGTCAGGAGTTCCGAGACCAGCCTGGCCAACATGATGAAACCCTGTCTCTACTAAAAATATAAAAAATTAGCCAGGTGTGGTGGTGCGTGCCTGTAATCCCAGCTACTCGGGAGGCTGAGGCAGGAGAATCGCTTGAATCCAGGAGGTGGAGGTTGCAGTGAGCCGAGATCGTGCCATTGCACTCCATCCTGGGTGACAAGAGTGAAACTCCATCTCAAAAAATGAAAAAAAAAAAAAAAACCCATAGTGTGGCCAGGAGATGGAACAAGCACCCATCACCCACAGCATGGGAATAGGGAATGCACTTGGCATGTGCACGATGAGGCTTTTGACCCCACTGTGCCTTGGTTCATGCCCCTTCCCCTCTCCTCCACCCTCGTGCCAGGTCCGGTCAAACTCAGAGTCTTCCCTGCCCTGCCATCTCCCCGATGCCTCCAACCTCGACTGGCCTTCCAGTTCCTTAAATTCCCAAGAGTTCAGTTCCGTTAATAACCTGTGCAAGGGCTTGTTTTACCTATTTTAAAAAAATGTTCTACATTTAACTTTTTTGTTACGGAAAATTTCAAATATACACAAGTAGGGAGCCAGATATAAAGAACCAAGCTGCAACAGTTATTAACATTCTGCTGCTTTGTTTCATCTTTCCCTTTCCCCCATCCCCTAGGGTATTTTTAAAGCTGGTGCCAGACAATTTAGTTTCACCTGTATATACTTCTGTATGTGTCTCTAAGAAATAGGACTGAATTTTTAACAACTTGATCACAATACCATGATATCCCACAAAGTATACAATAATTCCTTATCAATTATCCAGTCCATGGACAGTTTTCTCCAATTGCCTCAAAAATTCTTTGGTTGGTTTGAATCAGGAATCAACTGAGATAAACAAATTGTATTTAGTTGCTGTGTGTCTCAGGTTTCTCTTAATCTCTAACAGCTCCTCTATTCTTTCAGTGCTACTTATTGATGAACAATAATTTTTCCTACAGAATTGCCCCCATTCTATATTTGGCTGACCGTATCCTCAGAGTGGTGTTTAAGATGCTCCTCTTGAGCCAGGCACAGATGACTCACGTCTGTGGTCCCAGCACTATGGGAGGCTGAGCCAGGCAGATCACTCAAGCCCAAGAGTTTGAGACCAGCCTGGGCAATGTGGTGAAACCCCATCTCCACAAAAAATAAAAAGATACTCCTCTTTGTCCTCTTTTTTTTTCCCCTGTAAGCTAATAAGAGCTAGGAGGCTTGAATAAATTTAGATAGATTTATTTATTTATTTATTTATTTATTTATTTATTTATTTATTTATTTATTTATTTTTGAGACGGAGTCTCGCTCTGTTGCCCAGGCTGGAGTGCAGTGGCATGATGTCAGCTCACTGTAACCTCCGCCTCCCAGGTTCAAGCAAATTCTTGTGCCTCATCCTCCCGAGTAGCTGGGATTTACAGGCACGCACCACTATGCCCAGATAATTTTTTGTATTTTTTGGTACAGACGGGGTTAACCATGTTAGCCAGGCTGGTCTGGAATTCCTGACCTCAGGTGATCACCCGCTTTGGGCTCCCCAAGTGCTGGGATTACAGGTGTGAGCCACCGTGCCCAGCCAGATTTTTATTTATTTTTTGACAGGACTATTTCATAAGCGGAGCTGTGGAGATGGCATCATCTCATGTGGCACATCATGCCTCACTGTTCCACTTTCAGTGGGTTCAGGTGATGTCAGACTGACCCATCCATTATACGGTTTGTGGGTTTTTTTGGAGACGGGGTCTCACTCTGTCACCCCGGCTGAGTGCAGTGGTGCAATCATAGTTCACTACAGCCTCCACCTCCTGAGCTCAAACAATACTCTTGCCTCAGCCTCCCAAGTAGCTAGGACTACGGTGTGTACCACCACACCAGCTAGTTTTTATCTTTGTAGAGATGTTGCCCATGTTGGCCATTATAAAGTGTCTCATTAACCCTTCTCCTAAACCATTGATGATCATTGCCTAGATTCTATTGCATTAGATATGCAAATTTATGATTTTCTAGTTCTATCACTCCTTAATTACTTATTCGGTATGAGTCTTCCATAAAGAAAATGTTTTCCTCATTCATTATTTGATTATGCTAAAATATGGTTTGTATGGGAAAACTATGATAAATGCTTGATACTATCCCATCACTTACCAATTTTTGGAGTAATCAGATGATGCTCTAACAGCTACCAAAGGTGATCAGTGAGGTTATTGTTTTAAATTAATTATCATTACAAACTTGTGGATTTCATGCATTTGTGTTTCAATCCATTGCAGTTGGTATTGTTGAGGCTCAAGCTGTCCATCTGGGACCTCCTTCCGGATGTTTCCTGTGTTCTTTTGACCACTCCAGTAGCCTTTGATGTTTCCTTGATTTTAGGCACAAGATAGCTCAAGTTCATCTTGTCCATTTCCTGCCCCAGACATGGACTTGGCCATTTCTCAATCTCTGGTGCATGTCAGGGACCACAATCTGAGTACAGGGTTGCTACTAGGTTGGCCTTTTTTTTTTTTTTTTTTTTTTTAGGTCTTTTCAGTGGGCATAGCTAGGAGATGTTTATCTTTCAGAAACAACAAAAAGTAAGTTAATACTGATGTTCCAAGTCAAATTAAATATTGCAGGGTGGCTGGGCACGGTGGCTCATGCCTGTGATCCCAGCACTTTGGGAGGCTGAGGCGAGTGGATCACCTGAGGTCAGGAGTTTGAGACCAGCCTGAGCAACATGGAGAAACCCCATCTCTACTAAAAGTACAAAAATTACCTGGACGTGGTGGCGCATGCCTGTAATCCCAGCTACTTGGGAGGCTGAGGCAGGAGAATCACTTGAACCCGGAAGGTGGAGGTTGCAGTGAGCTGAGATCGTGTCACTGGACTCCAGCCTGGGTGACAAGAGCAAAACTCCATCTCAAAAATATATATATTTTGCAGGGGCCGGGCGCTGTGGCTCACGCCTGTAATCCCAGCACTTTGGGAGGCCAAGGCAGGCAGATCACGAGATCAAGACCATCCTGGCCAACATGGAGAAACCCCGTCTCTACTAAAAATACAAAAATTAGCTGGGCGTGGTGGCGTGCACTTGTAGTCCCAGCTACTCGGGGGCCTGAGGCAGGAGAATCGCTTGAACCCGGGAGGCGGAGGTTGCAGTGAGCTGAAATTTTGGGTTCCTAGTCATATTAACATAATTACTTATATGCTTTATCATTCAGTCTATATAAGTTTCCAAAGTGACAATAGTAATATATTGCTGACAATAACATTACTAAATGAAATTTAAGATTTCTTTGTGGTTGTTTTAGTCCTTGGGATATATCCAGTTAGGGACATATATTCAAAATGCTGTTTTAAACTTTTCTTTTTTTGAGATGGAGTCTCACTCTGTTGCCCAGGCTGCTGGAGTGCAGTGGCACCATCTCAGCTCACTGCAACCTCCACCTCCCGGGTTCAAGTGATTCTCCCACCTCAGCCTCCTGAGTAGCTGGGACTACAGGCACATGCCACCATGCCTGGCTAATTTTTTTTTTTTTTTTTTTTTTGTAGTTTTAGTAGAGACAGGGTTTTGCCATGTTGGCCAGGCTGGTCTCAAACTCCCCACCTCAAGTGATCTGCCTGCCTCGGCCTCCCAAAGTGCTGGGATTACAGGCGTGAGCCATCGCGCCCAGCCTGTTTTAAACTTTTTGTCATGGAGATGTTAAATACCTACAAAAGCAGAGAGAAGAGTATAAAGAATGCCAATGTACTCATCATTCATCTTCAGCAATTACCAGCTCATGGTCAACATTGTTTCATCAATACTTCTGTACATTCCTCTTACATAACATTGAAGCAAATTTCAGATAGCATATTTCATTAGGAAATATTTCAGAATATATCTCTAAAAGATAAGGACTTTTTTTTTCTTTTTTTTTTTTTTTTGAGACATAGTTTCACTCTTGTCGCCCAGGCTGGAGTGCAATGGCACGATCTCTGCTCACTGCAACCTCTGCCTCCTGGGTTCAAGTGATTCTCTTGTCTCAGCCTCCCAAGTAGCTGGGATTACAGGCATGAGCCACCATGCCTGGCTAATTTTTGTATTTTTTGTAGAGATGGGGTTTCACCATGTTGGCCAGGCTGGTCTGGAATCCCTAACCTCGGGTGATCTGCCCATCTCGGCCTCCCAAAGTGCTGGGGGATTACATGCGTGAGCCACCAAGCCCGGCCAGGACTTTTTTTTTTTAAGTAGTCACGCTACCATGATGATACCTAAGAATAGTAATTCTTTAAGATAAGCAAATATCCAGTCACCGTTTACATTTCCCGGCCTCATAAATGTTTGGGGGTATAGTTTTTTTCAAATTGGAATCTGAATAAATTCCATACATTGCCACGGGCTGATATGTCTCTTAAATCCTCTTGTAATCTTGTTATTAAATCCTCTTGTAATCTTTTTTTGTTTGTTTTGAGAAGGAGTCTCACTCTGTCACCCAGGCTGGAGTGCAGTGACTCGATCTCGGTCACTGCAACCTCCGTCTCCTGGGTTCAAGCGATTCTCCTGCTTCAGCCTTCCAAATAGCTGGGATTACAGGTGCCTGCCAGCACGCCCGGCTAATTTTTTTGTATTTTTAGTAGAGACGGGGTTTCACCACGTTGTGGACAGGCTGGTCTCGAACTCCTGGCCTCATATGATCCACCTGCCTTGGCCTCCCAAATTGCTGGGATTACAGGCTTCAGCCACCGTGCCCATTTCTCTTGTAATCTTTTAATCCAAAGGTATGTCCTCGATTATTTTTTCTTTACTTGTTAAACGGAGTTTCTGTTAGACCATCTGTATTCCCATGGTAAATTTTTTTTACTGCCCCTGTATTTTCTGTAAACTGGTAATTAAAGTCAGAGACAACAGATTTGGTTTGTTTGTTTTTGCAAGAATACTTAATAGATTTGTACTTCCATATAAGGGAGCATATACTGTTGGGCTTTTTTTTTTCTTTTATTGGGACAGGGTCTCACTCTGTCACCCAGGCTGGAGTGGTGGCTCACTGCAGCCACGACCTCCTGGGGCCAGGTGATCCTCCCATCTCAGCCTTCTGAGCAGGTGGGACTGCAGGTGTGCACCACCACTCTTGGCTAATTTTTTTTTTAGACGAAGTTTCGCTCTTGTCACCCAGGCTGGAGTGCCATGGCGTGATCTAGGCTCACTGCAACCTCCGCCTCCCAGGTTCAAACGCTCGCCACCATGCCCAGCTAATTTTTGTATTTTTGATAGAGATGGGGTTTCACCATGTTGGTGAGGCTGATCTCGAACTCCTGACCTCAGGTGGTCTGCCTACCTCGGCCTCCCAGAGTGCTGGGATTACAGGCCTGAGCCACCGCACCCGGCCTGCTTGGCTAATTTTTGTATTTTTTTGTAGAGACGGGGTCTCACAAAGTAGCCCAGGCCAGTGGTTGTCTTCTGTTTTCGGTGTTTGCAGTCATTGATAACTTTACTTAGATCCATTATTTCACAGGGGTTGTAAAATGATATTATATCATGTATATCTATCTATCATAGGATATTCTATCATTTCTATCTATCATAGGACATTCTATCATTTCTCTCTGTCATATAATATTGTATCATTTCTATCATAGGATATCCTATCATTTCTATCTATCATGGGATATTCTATCATTTCTATCTATCATAGGATATTCTATCATTTCTTTTTTTTTTTTTTTTTTTTTTGAGACGGAGTCTGGCTCTGTCGCTCAGGCTGGAGTGCAGTGGCATGATCTCGGCTCACTGCAAGCCCCGCCTCCCGGGTTCACGCCATTCTCCTGCCTCAGCCTCCCGAGTAGCTGGGACTACAGGTGGCCGCCACCACGCCCGGCTAATTTTTTGTACTTTTAGTAGAGACGGGGTTTCATCGTGTTAGCCAGGATGGTCTCGATCTCCTGACCTCGTGATCCGCCCGCCTCGGCCTCCCAAAGTGCTGGGATTACAGGCGTGAGCCACCGCGCCCGGCCTTCTATCATTTCTATCATAGGATATTCTATCATTTCTATCTGTCTATCATGGGATATTCTATCATTTCTATCTATCTATCTATCATAGGATAGTCTATCATTTCTATCTATCATCGGATATTCTATCATTTCTGTCTATCATCGGATATTCTATCATTTCTATCTATCATAGGATATTCTATCATTTCTATCTATCATAGGATATTCTATCATTTCTATCTATCTACCATAGGATATTCTATCATTTCTAACTACCATAGAATATTCTATCATTTCCATCTATCTATCATGGGATATTCTATCATTTCTATCTATCATATGATATTGTATCATTTCTATCTATCATAGGATAGTCTATCCTTTCTATCTATCTATCATAGGATATTCTATCGTTTCTTCAACAAGTGCATACCTCCTTCCTTGTACCCACCAGTTTTCTTTTTCTTTCTTTCTTTTTTTTTTTTTTTTGAGATGGAGTCTTGCTCTGTCGCCCAGGCTGGAGTGCAGTGGTGCTATCTCAGTTGACTGCAACCTCCGCCTCCCAGGTTCAAGCAATTGTACTGCCTCAGCATCCGAAGTAGCTGGGATTACAGGCACCTACCACTACACCCAGCCAATTTTTGCATTTTTAGTAGAGACGAGGTTTCACCATGTCGGCCAAGCTGGTCTCGAACACCTCACCTGAGGTGACCCACATGCTTTGGCCTCCCAAAATGCTGGGATTGCAGGCATGAGCCACTGCGCCCAGCCACGCACCAGTTTTCAAAATAATGAATTGATTCCCTAGCATCCCCTGATGATGGCAGAGGTTTCTTCCTTAGTTTCATGATGTTTTCATGGATTTAAACATATTTGTTGTGTTTAAATCCTTTGCAGTTGTTATCCTTATTCATGTTCAAATTGTCCCCATCTTTGGCCAGTGGGAGCCTCTTCAAGTTGATTTCTGAGTCCTTTGACACAATCCTAAATGGTCTTTGTTTTGTTGTGTTTTGAAGTCAGTCTTGCTCTGTTGCCCAGACTGGAGTGCAGTGGTGCGTTCATGGCTCACTGCAGTCTTCACTAAGTGATCTTTCAAAGCTTCTTTGCTTTCTGGCATGACTGGATGTGCAGGATTAGCTTGTATTTTTACTGCCACAGACCTGGAATGAGCTATTTCTTCTAAGGGTCTTTGGTTGCTTCTTATGGAAATGAGATTTAGAGACCATAAATACCATGGCCATCAGAAGTGTTTGTTGTTACTGAGTTGGTCATTGGTTTTAGGCTTTTTCCGTTGACAAAGCTAGGAAATTTGTGATTTTGTGTGTAAGGATCATATCCTGTGACACAGGCTCAGGAGGCCCTGAGAACATGTGCCCAGGAAATGTTTTTTGTTTTCTTTTTTCTTTCTTTTTTTTTTTTTTAAATAGAGGTGGGGTCTTTCACTATATTGCCCAGGCTGGTCTCCAAATCCTGGGCTTAAGTGATCCTCCTACTTCGGCCTCCCAAAGTGCTGGGATTATAGGCTTCAGCCACAGTGCAAGGCTGAAAAATGTAACTACATTGTGAGTTTATATTGATATTTCCAATGCAAGTTCAGAACTGTGTATCTTGTATATACATGCATCTTCTCTAATCTCTCCCACATTGAAACAGAGTTAAAGGCCTGGCCCAGAGGCTTTTGGTGTGCAGGTGGGTGTTAAGGATGATGTGAGAAGTAAAAAGAACCACCAGTCAATCATCAGGGTCAGCCTGTCTGTGGTACCAACACCTAGAATCTGGCTCACAGGTGCATTCATCCTTTCTCCCTGGGAACAGGAGCTGTCCTCCTCACATGTGTGAATGGTTTCAGTCCTGACACTCAACAGGGCACACAAAAGGAGCCTGGAAGTTCTTAAGGAACAGGAAGCTCAGGGGCACAGAGGAGCGTTTCTAGCACACATTTTAAACAACTGGGACCAAAGCCAAGCACGGTGGTTCACACCTGTAGTCCTGGCACTTTCGGAGGCCAAGGTGGGCAGATTGCTTGAGCTCAGGAGTTCGAGACCAGCCTGGGCAACATGGCGAAACCTTGTCTCTACAAAACAATACAAAAAATTAGCTGGGCTTGGTGGTGTGCACCTGTGGTCCCAGCCGCTGGGGAGGCTGAGGCAGGAGAATCACAACCCAGGAGGTGGAGGTTGCAGTGAGCCGGGATCATGCCACTATACTCCAGCCTGGATGACAGAGCAAAACTTCGTCTCAAAAAAATAAATAAATATCTGGGACCACTAAACCAGCTCACAGGCAATTGGGGCCTTGTATTGGTAGTTTCTTGATTTTAAATCACATTCCTCATAGAAACATCAACTTGCTAAGAAGAACAGAAGTGAGGAGAGAATCAGGAAGAAGGGAGACTCTAGAAAGCAAGTGGGAAACTGCAAGTAGCCTCAGAAATGTCATGTTTACTGAGGTCTCTCCACCTGGGGTCTAAGACAAGTGCAATCTGGCCCTTGCCCTTAAGGACCACTTAATTTAGGTGGAAAAGAAAAAGCAGGTGTGAGTCAACCATGCATAGACGTGTCAGGGAGGATGAAAGCAGAAAACGCAGAACGTGAGCCACAAATAGAGTTTAGAGGAGGGAGGTCCATGATTACTCCTGATGGGAGAGGAGGAGGGAGCAGCCCTCACTGCCCCATCATGCTGGGTTCTGCCCATCTCCCAGAGGTGGGTGGAGCCCTGGGTTCTGGCCTGCATTTGAGGCTGGGAATTGAAGAGAAGGGGGCAGGAGGGGTACTGGATGGGCAATGTCCCATCCTTCACACATTTCGTGGGTTTTCCCTTCTGGCCTGGGGTATCCCTCCCTGCAGAGCCAGTTACAGAGAGATGGGGCAGTGGGCAGCCAGCGTAGGGGTGGGGAATATCTCCCAGGGAGCTTGGATCTCAGGTTACTCCTGGTGCTGCTGGGGAAAAAGCCCTTGGTTTCCAGGCTCAGATCTGATTACAGCAGCCTGACGGTTTTATCACCCTTGGCAGAAGGACTGTTTAGAGCTGGGACTTTCTGGCACCCAATACTGTCACTAGATCTCCATGCACATTAGGGGCAGCTTGCCCTGTGACAGAAGCACTTGGCCCCATTCTGCCCCCTAGTAGCATTTGACCTTGGACAAGTTACTGTCCTACTGTGTGAACAAGTGAGGGTGTTAACAGATCATTTTATTTTATTTTATTTTATTTTATTTTATTTTATTTTATTTTATTTTATTTTATTTTATTTTATTTTATTTTATTTTTTTGAGACGGCGTCTCCCTCTGTCGCCCAGCCTGGAGTGCAGTGGTGCGATCTCGGCTCACTGCAAGCTCCGCCTCCTGGGTTCACACCATTCTCCTGCCTCCGGAGTAGCTGGGACTACTGCCACCACGCCTGGCTAATTTTTTGTATTTTTAGTAGAGACGGGGTTTCACTGTGTTAGCCAGGATGGTCTCGATCTCCTGACCTCGTGATCCACCCGCCTCAGCCTCCCAAAGTGCTGGGATTACAGACCCAACTCTAGAATTCCAGGACCTCACTCTGTACCCCCCTCCCCCAATTGACTGTTTAGTATTTGACAGTCCCTAGTTAATGCACTCTCCTTCTTTCCATCAAGTAGTATCTGTCTACCTTCCTGTATGCTGAGCCTCATGTTAGTTCTGGGGCTGTGGCAATGAAAGACACACTGGCAGCCCAGATTTGGCACCGAGGAGGCAGACAGGGAGCAGCTGCCTGCCTGCTGAGGGACCTGATCCTGGAGAGGCTCTAGACCCAGAGAACACGGCACTGCCTGACCTCTTCTCAGTGATTTTATTACAGTGATGGGTGAAGAGTGTGGAGGCGGCTGCTACAGACTGTGCTCCTCCCCAGATTATGCTGAAACCTAACCCCCAGTGTGATGGCATTGGAAGTGGAGCCTTTGGGAGGCAATTAGGTCATGAGGGTGGAAGCCCTCATCAATAGGATTGGTGCCCTTTTAAAAGAGTTCTCTTGCCCCTTCTGCCATGTGAGGACACAGCGAGAAGATGGCCTCTATGAGCCAGGAAGCAGGCCCTCAGCAGACACTCAATCTGCCACAGCCTTGACCTTGGACTTCCCAGGCCCCAGGACTGTGAGGAATAAATACCCATTGTTTATAAGCCACCTAGTCTACGGAATTTTTTTCTTTTTTTTTTTTAGACAGAATCTCGCTCTATCGCCCAGGCTGGAGTGCAGTGGTGCTATCTCAGCTCACTGCAAGCTCCGCCTACTGGGTTCACACCATTCTTCTGCCTCAGCCTCCTGAATAGCTGGGACTACAGGTGCCCGCCACCACGCCCGGCTAATTTTTTTTGTGTATTTTTTTTAGTAGTGACGGGGTTTCACCGTGTTAGCCAGGATGGTCTCGATCTCCTGACCTCGTGATCCACCCGCCTTGGCCTCCCGAAGTGCTGGGATTACAGGCGTGAGCCACCGTGCCCAGCTATGGTATTTTGTTATAGCAGTTCAAGCTGACTAAGACAGTGAGGCGAACCCTGTTATCTTGCTTTCAGTGATAAAACTGGAGCCTGCTAAGGTGGTGTGACCTGCCCAAGGGCACACTGGTTCAGGGTTATTTTTCTTCTACCATCACCAATTTTCAAAGGTGGAGGTGAGGCTGTATAGGAAACCTTTGCATTATCTTTGCAGCTGTCCTGTAACTCTAATATTCCAAAATAAAAAGGTGTTTTTTTTTTAAGTGGAGGACTTTTGACCCGTCTCCTCACCTTCTGATACACACCAACCAACCAGTCAACCAGCCATTGCTGTTTACTGGATACCTGGTAGGTATAAGGCACCATGGTACGTACAACTATGGGGTGGGTATGAAGATGTCTAAAATGCTATCATTGCTCTCTTTGAGTTCTCAGTTTTCCCTGTGGGAAAATAAGACATGTTCAAGTGAAAAGTCCTTTTTTTGGTAATTTTTATTTTATGATTATTCTTTTTTTTATTTATTAGAGATGTGGTCTCACTATGTTGCCCAGGCTGGTCTCAAACTCCTGGCCTCAAGTCATCCTGTGGCCTCGGCCTGCCAGAGTTTTGGGATTACAGGCATGAGCCACCGAGCCTGGCCAGGAAAGTTATTTCTAACAGCACAAGACTGTTTGATAACTGCCAATAGGTACTGAGGTACAAAGTTGGGGGAAGTGGAGAGAAATGACCACTAGAAGGTTGTTTTTAAAATAGGAATAAAAATGATGATTTCCTGGCCGGGCACAGTGGCTCACGCCTGTAATCCCAGCACTTTGGGAGGCTGAGGCAGGTGGATCACCTGGGGTCAGGAGTTCAAGACCAGCCTGGCCAACATGGTGAAACCCTGTCTCTACAAAAAAAAAAAAAAAAGTTAGCTGGGGTGGTGGCGGGCACCTATAATCCCAGCTACTCAGGAGGCTGAAGCAGGAGAATGGCTTGAACCTGGAAGGCAGAGGTTGCAGTGAGCTATGATGGCACCACTGCACTTCAGCCTGGGTGACAGAGCAAGACTCCAACTCAAAAAAAAAAAAAAAAGATTTCCTTGTATGAAACAGCTGCAGAATGTTTTTGACATAATGAACTCTTGAAAGATGTGAGCACTTCAATTGATTGTACATATATTTTCCTAGCCTTCATGCATTAGCCATTAAAAAAAACCCACTAAGTCTTATTGATTTTATCTCCTACCTATCCCTCACATTGATTTTCTCATTGCCATCCTCACTGCTACTGTCATGGTTGGGCCCTTAGCATCTCTTTCTGGACTCACACATGAACCCATCCCTCTTCCTTTCTCCAGTCCCGCCTGTCCCTCCGCTGGGTCCATGCCTGTACTACAGCCTGGGTTATCTGGCCGGAGCACTGAGCTGACTACCTCATGCTTGGGCTGGCGGAGGACCCTCAGGAGACTCACGTTTCTGCATGCGACAAACAAGCCCCTTCACGTGTGGCTTTGTACACCTCTTTATCCCCTTTGCCCACCGCCTCAGCTCTCCCAGCCCCTCAAATCCTGCTTCAGCCATGATGACCTGCTTCCCTCCATTCAAGCAAACTTTGCTCTGTTGAGCCTCAGTGCCTTTGCTGTTGGCTGCATTCTCTTCATGGAGAGCTCTCTGCCTACTGAATTTGTATTTATTCTCCAACACTCAGCTTAAACATTTCTTTCTATGGCCTCTGAAGTTAATCACTCCTGCCTCAGTCTCCTTATAGCATACTGCTACTGTGGTCCTTATGTTCACTGGGCAGAAATTTGTTTGACTTCATCATCTGCTAAGTCTTTCCACATTTATTAAGCAACTACCACGTGCTGGGGCTGCGACACGGTGAAGAGACAGATGCAGTCTTTGTCCTCTTGGATGTCCCCAAGCAGTGAGGGGGCTGGAGATATGCAGAAGCAATTATAGAATGTGTCACAGTGCTGTGATGGGGGTGTGCCTGGAGGGGCCCAGTCTCAGAGGGGCCCTGGGGGATCAGAGAGGGCTTCCTAGGAGAAACGATGCTTGTTTTTTGTTTTTTAAAGACAGAGTCTTGCTCTTTCGCTCAGGCTGGAGTGAAGTGACTCTATCTCAGCTCACTGCAACCTCAGCTCCCCACCCCAGGTTGAAGCATTTCTCCTGCCTCAGCCTCCCCAGTACCTGGGATTATAGGCACGTGCCACCACGCCTGGCTAATTTTTGTATTTTTTTTAGTAGAGATGGGGTTTCACCATGTTGGCCAGACTGGTCTCAAACTTCTGACCTCAGGTGATCTGCCCACCTCGGCCTCCCGAAGTGCTAGGATTACAGGTGTGAGCCACTACGCCCAGCCATGATACTAAATTGATTTCTGAAGCCCAGGCAAGAATTTGCAATCTGGTCCTCCACCAAGATCTTCCAGGGAAAAGCTGCATCTTATTCATTGTTGTGTTGCCCCCACTCTAGCTCTGTGTTTACACATAGTAGGTGCTCATTACATTTGCTTGTTTGTTTAAATGAATTATTGGGCAAACAAAATGAATGGGCAAATGAAAACTGTATTTCTTTTGGGCAAGTGGACAACCTCAGCTTAACGCTCCAGCTTCTAATATCAGGTGGCTGGGCCTAAGATAAAAGTTGTGTTTTACTTTTGCGTATCATGTGGTTTACTGCAGTACTTTTTTTTGACCTTTAGATTCAGTTTAGTAATACTCTATGAATGATGAGTGGTTTCACAGTTTTTCAGATGAGTTTGTGGCTTTTGTTTCAGTGTGCTATAAAAAGAATAATTTTATTTAATTTATGAATATCTAGTAATTTTATAAGTAATATTTTCCTAAAAATCCTTTTAAATTTTCTTTTTCTTCTTTTATTTTTTTGAGACAGAGTTTTCACTCTGTCACCCAGGCTGGAATGCAGTGGTGTGATCTGGGCTCACTGCAATCTCTGCCTCCTGGGTTCAAGCCATTCTCCGGCCTCAGCCTCCCGAATAGCTGGAATTACAGGCATGTACCACCATGCCCAGCTAATTTTTGTATTTTTAGTAGAGATGGGGTTTCACCAAGTTGTTCAGGCTTGTCTCGAACTCCTGACCTGAAGTGATCTGCCTGCCTTGGCCTCCCAAAGTGCTGGGATTATAGGCGTGAGCCACCGCGCTTGGCTTAAAATTTTCTTAATGTTAAAAAAAAAAAAAAAATAGCTGGGCGCAGTGGCTCACGCCTGTAATCCCAGTACTTTGGGAGGCCGAGGCAGGCGGATCACCTGAGGTCAGGAGTTCGACACCAGCCTGGCCAACAATGGTGAAACCCCGTCTCTACTAAAAATACAAAAATTAGCTGGGTGCGGTGGCAGGTGCCTGTTATCCCAGCTACTCAGGGAACTGAGGCAAGAGAATCGCTTGAACTTGGGAGGTGAAGGTTGCAGTGAGCCGAGACCGCACCATTGCACTCCAGCCTGGGCGACAAGAGTGAAACTCCATCTTAAAAAAAAGATGTGAATGGCAGTGGAAAGAAATTGTAGGAATTGTGGGCAGGGGTGTTAGGGGAAGAGATAGAGTCGGAGACCAAGGATGGGCCTTGCCTTTATATCCAGGAGTTCAAAGAACTTGCCTGTCTGATACCTCTCTTGTTCACGACAGGGCCAGGCCTTTTGAGTGGCTGTTACCTACCTCTAAGGGTATGATGATGAATTTTATGTGTCAATTTGACTGGGCCACAGGATGTTTAGATATTTGGTCAAACATTATTCTGGATGTTTTTGGATGGGATGAACATTTAAATCGGTAGACTGAGTAAAGCAGTTTGTCTTCCATAATGTGGGTGGGCCTCATCCAATCAGTAAAGGCCTGAACAGAACAAAACAGATCCTTGCTCTGAGTAAGACAGAATTCCTCTTGCCTGGCTGCATTTAAACTGGGATATTGACTTTTTCCTGCCTGTGGACTTAAAATATTGGCTCTTCCTGGGTCTGTAACTGCTAGCCTTTGGACCGGAACTGTACCACAGGCTCTCCTGGGTCTCTAGCTTGCTGACTTACCCTGCAGATCTTGGGACTTGGGACTTGTCAGCCTTCAATAAGTGTGAGCCAATTCTTTGTAATAAATCTCTTTACACACACACCACACACACACACAAACCCTATTGGTTCTATTTATCTGGAGATCCTAATACAAGGTGACAGTGTTTTGATGGGGGCCCAGGGGTTTGGGAGTGCACAGAGGGCCCCTAGGTTTATTTACTAACACCAAATAAATCATCAATCCTTAGATACCAGAGCTGGGGATCAAAGCACTCTCTCAGTTTACAGATGAGGAAACTGAGGCCCAATGAGGAAGGTTCTTCCCACTGCACAATCCACTAATCTTACCTGTTAGCTGAGGATGGAATCCCCTTAATTGGAGACCATAATTAGAAATAAGACTTAAAATGGGAAAATAATGCACTGACATAAATTCACACGAAAATATAAACAGTTGGATGAATTTTTTTTTTTTCTGAAGAGCAAGGTGCAATGGGGGAAGGCAGGGGTACAGGGTGAATAGACAGATACAGTCCCTATCCTCTCGGAGATCCCTGATCAATGAGTTTCAAAGATGCACAGAAGCAAACTATCCACAGTGAGCATAGTTTGGTTCTTGAAACTGAGCATTCAGGACAATGAGAGATGGGGTACAGGAGGGACAGGGCAGGCCCAAAGACCTTGCCTCCTTGTTACTCTGTTGAGAGCTGGCCCAGACCACTGCAGTCTATGTTACGCTGGGAAACTAATTCAACAGTACACATCCAGAGGGATGAATGGCTAGAGCTGGCCCAATGCTTAATTTCAGTTAGCTGGTAGAAAATTTCTGCAAATAGTCTTCTAGCAGTAGCACTGCATCGCATCTTCTTTACAATGACATTTTTAGGCATGCCACCCCTTTCCTGGTTGTGTTGTGGAAGTGGGGATCAAACCACTCCCTCAGTTTACAGAAAAGGAAACAGGCCCAATGAGGAAGGCTCTTCCCACTGCACAATCCACTAATCTCACCTGCTAGCTGGTGGCAAAGTGGGCAGCAGGGTGTTTGGAGCAGTGAGGCAACTGGCAGCCTATTTTCAAACCTGATGTAAAACTTTTTTTCTTTTTGCTTACATAAAGCTTATGACTGTTCAATCTGGGGTCGATAGCTTGCAACAGAAAACCATGCTGTGCCCAATGTGGCCATTATTGTCATTTTACCTCCTATTTAGAGCAAGGGCAATGGGCAAGATAGTAAAGGTTCTTGAAATCCTCTCACTAGAGGATGGAGATATATTTAGCTTGGCAAAGAGATTCCCAGGAGACTTGAGAGCAGTCTTCAGCTATTGAAAAGGCTGCTCTGAGGAGGAAGGGATGGAGTTGTTCTATGTTCTCCAGAGATCAGAATGGGGCCAGGAGAGGTTACAGGAATACAGGTTTTGGTAGGCAAAGGGTGAAGGGTTCTGCCTTGGAGGTTTTGGAACATGGGCTGGATAAGTGTTTGGTGCAGGGTTGTGAAGGAGATTGAAGCATTAAGGGATGCTTGGGCTACATTATTTTTAAGCACCTTTTAACCTTGAGATTCTCTGATATGAGGCTGTGGACAATGGTCAATTGCCATGAATAGTGGCATCTGAAGAGGTTGAATATGACCATTCATCCAACCAAACGTGTTGGTCTGTTGTGTATAAAGCGCTCTGTTCAACAAGAGATGCTAAGGTCCCCATCCCAAGTACAAACATGGCTGTAATACAAAACAGAATGTTACACAGGCTATAAAGAGGCATATACACCTCTCTTCCTCCTCTCCTAGAATACAGAAGAGATGGTAATAATACACAGTTTGGAGAGCAAGGAAAGCTGTCATGAAAGCGGTGACTATTTCATCATTAATGCATGGTTTAAAAAAAATTAGGCAGAACAGGCTGGGTGCAGTGGCTCATGCCTGTAATCCTAGCACTTTGGGAGGCCGAGGCAGGCGGATCACCTGAGGTCAGGAGTTCAAGACCAGCTTGGCCAACATGGCGAAACCCCGTCTCCACTGAAAATACAAAAATTAGCTGGGCGCAGTGGTGGGCACCTGTAATCCCAGCGACTTGGGAGGCTGAGGTAGATGAATTGCTTGAGCCCAGGAGGCAGAGGTTGCAGTGAGCTGAGATCGTGCCACTGCACACCAGCCGGGGCGACAGAGTGAGACTCTATTAAAAAAAAAATTAGGCAAAACAAACAGGTATGCTATAAAAGTGAGTCTCTAGTATTAATCAGGAAATTCTGACACCTGCTATAACATGGATGGACCTTGAGGACATTTATGCCAAGTAAAATAAACCAGTCACAAAAAGACAAATACTAATGATTCCACTTATATGAGTTTCCTAGAGAAGTCAAATTCATACAGTGCTATAAATGATTACTTATCAGTCTATTACCCTTAACTGAAAATGTCTTGTTGTTCTCTTTTTTTTTTTTTTTTTGAGTCAGGGTCTCACTCTGTCACCCAGGCTGGAGTGCAGTGGTACTATCATAGCTCACTGCAGCCTCTACCTCCTGAGCTCAGGTGATCCTCTTACCTCAGCCTCTCAAGTAGCTGGGACTACGGTCACATGCCACCATGCCCAGCTAAGTTTTGTATTTAATAGAAAGGGGGTTTTGCCATGTTGCCCAGGCTGGTCTCAAACTCCTGGGCTCAACTGATCTGCCCACCTCGGCCTCCCAAAGTGTTGGGATTACCAGCATGAGCCATTGTGCCTGGCCCTGAAAGCATCTTATATTCCTCTTTCTTAGCACAGTGCCTGGTGTATGGCAGGAACTCACAAAATATTTGTTAAATAAATAGGAACATTCCCACAGGAAGAACAATCACATCTAATGGGGTAGAGGTGGGAGGTGGTCAGGGGAAGCAGGGAAGAAATAACATTTGAGAGCTGAGTCTTCCTTGAAGTGGGAATTAATCATTCAAAATTTACTAAGTCCCTATTTTATGCCAGGCATTGGGCAAGGACCCATTGGATATACAGAGATGACTGACACAGCATTTAGTTTTTCAGAATCTCATCGGATAGAGGAGACAATCCAGGCTGAGAGCACTATATAAACAAAAGGCTGGAGTCCTGAAAATGCTTTATGTGTTTGCAGGGGATATAGTTTATGAAGGAGGGGATTAGGCTTAAAAAGAGCTAGACAGTGAAAGGTGAAAGTAGGGAACAGTGGAAGGTGATATGGCCTTTAAACTTTGCTGCTTACAGGTCTTTCAGGTTACAGTTTGAACTTGATCCTGGAAGCAGCAGAGAAATCAATCACTGGCTACTCTTAAAACAGCTGAGTGACACAATCAAATGTGTACTTCAGAAATTTTCCATGTGGCAATGTGGAGGATGGGCTGGATTGCCTTGTTATTGGGAGACAAATTAGAAGGCTACTGCAATAGTCCTAGCAAGAGATGATGACAGGCTGGGCACGGTGGCTGACACCTGTAATCCCAACACTTTGGGAAGCTAAGGTGGGTAAATTGCTTGAGGCCAGGAGTTCAAGACCAGCCTGGCCAACATGGTGAAACCCTGTCTCTACCAAAAAAAAAAAAAAAGCAAAAATTAGCTGGGAGTGGTGGCACACACCTGTAATCCCAGCTACTTGGAGGCTGAGGCATGAGACTCACTTGAACCTGGGAGGCGGAGGTTGCAGTGAGCCAGGATAGCACCACTGCACTCCAGCCTGGGCAAAAAAAGCAAGACTCTGTCTCAACAAAAAAAAAAAAGAGAGAGAGATGATGATGAGAGCCTTGGGGACAGGCATGAGGAACAGATTAATGTGAGATATTCTAGAGGTACATGCATCAGGCCATGGTGACCAATTGTCTGTGGAGGGTGAGGCAGAAGGAATTGTTGAGGATGACTGAGGTGTCTGGGTAACGCTTTCAACTGAAACTGGGAAAGGGGATCAACTGAAACTGGGAAAGGGTTTGGTGTGGCAGGTATAAGTAATGAGTTCAAGTTGTATATTCTGAGATGGAAGTGTCATGAGGACATTCAGGTGGAGAAATCCTGTAGGACACTGGAAACGGATCCAGAGTTCACAGAAGACAGGATAAAGGTTAGGGCTCATTAGCATCTGGGTGATGAACGAAGGCTTGGAGAGAATGGGGTCCCTTATGGGGAGTGTGTTGAAGGACAACAGGCCGAAGATAGAAACCTGAAGCAAGGACAGAACTTTCTTTCAGAGCTGGTAGAAGAGAAGTCCCAAAAGAGAGACAAAAACTGGTTAGGGAGATAGAAGAATCACAGAGGCCAAGAGAAGAGAGTGTTTCCGAGAGGGTGCCAGGAAGGGACAGCTAAGTCTGCTCTGGAGGTCAGGGATGTGTACCTAAGGAGGCAACATCTAAACTGGTCTTGAGGAACAGCCGAAGATGGCGAACGGGACAGTTCCTGAAAAGGGAATGTGAGATTTGGCAATCAGGATAGCTGTAGCCTTTACTACGGAAAAGTCAGTGGTGGAGACAGCAGACAGATTCAGCGGGCTGAAGAGTAAGCAGAAGGTGAGGATGGGTAGGCAGGAGATAGAAACCATTATTTTTTGAAGTTTGATACTAAAGAGAAGGAAAGGCTAATACTTGAAGGGGGAAGTTTTCTAAATGGGTGGGACTTGAGCATGTTTACTAGCAGAAGGAGAGGGAGGTGAGAGGCCGAACGTAAGAGAGGCAGTAGTGGGTGAAGCAAAGGCCGTGGAGAGGCAGACGAAACGGACTCCAGCGCAAGCCACGCTGCAAATCTCTATGCCAGGCAGTTTGTGCCTCTGAGCTCTGCCATGCCATTCCCTTTTCCTGGATGATCTCTTCAATAAACCTTTACTGAGCCACTCCTGGGGCAGGGATTATTCTGCAACTGTGCTGCAAAGGTAAACAACCTGGGCTCTCTTCTCCAGAACTCATTTCCAACACTTGAAGAGACAAGTAAGAAACTTCAAGTCAGTGTGGAGAGTGCTGCAAGGACCAGTACTGGACATGATGGGAGACACTGGAAAGTCCCAAACCTAGTTTAGGGTGTTAGGGGACTTCCTGGAATCGGGGACATCTAAGCTGAGCCCTAAAGTAGGAGACAGTCAGATGGGAGAGAGTAAAGAAGAAGACATTTCAGGCCAAATGCCTGAATACCATACCCTGGAGTGGTCAGGTTGGTTCTCTGGTGGGAACACGAAGATTCTCCTGATCTTCTCCTCCCTACTCTCAACACTCTCAACATTCGTAGTTTTTACCTCCACTAAATACTCTTTCCTATATTATAGTGATGTTACCCCTTTATCTACTGGAAACTTCTGAAGAGAAGAGACTGGTCTTATTTTTGAATCTCCTAAAGTATCCAGCACAGAGCTCAGCACACGGTTAATGCTTTAAAAATATTTTTTGATAAGAAATCTCAGGCCTAAGAATCCCTATCATGGCTAATAAATTCTCAGAGGGCCATTGGTAGGATTAAGATATAGAGATTAAAAAGGGAAAGAAAAAAGTATGCATAGGAAGAAAAAAGGGTCAGGGAACAAGAGAGAGACAGAGAGAGAGCTGGGAAAGAGGGTGGGGAAGAAGCAAAGAGACAGATAAAGTGTACACACAGTGGGGAGGGATCCACTTACAAACCAAATCTAGCCAGAATTCTTTGCTCCATGAAACCTTGTCTTTGGATATTTTCCATCATGGGGAGAACTCCTTATTCTCCCTCTGCTTTAGGGGTCTCCCACTGGAATCTGATTCATAGATAAATTTGGTAAGTTGCAGGCATCACAACTCCATCTTCTGAGAAGCAGGGAGAAGCTGAGAGAGGGAAAGAAGGGGAAAAAAAGCCTACAAAACCAGCAAGTTTCCCACTTTACAGAGTGAGCCTAGACAGAACTTGAATTTTCTTCCCTTGAGAGTTAGGAGGAAAGCTGGTAGCTGTGTCACACTCCTGAGTTGTGTACACGACTCACAAGCCAAATTTTCTAGCACAGCAGAACAATTTTGTTTTGCTGCTGGATATATAAAGCAAGGAAAAAAAAAAGATGGCATTCCATCTTTTTGAATTAGCACCAAGTCTTTCAAACTCCACCCTTTCCAGGAAATGTTCTTTAATGCAGTGGGAGGTGGTAATTTTACTCTCTCCAAACCCTCATTTTACTTCCCTCACAACACAAAACCCTGCTCAGAGCTGCACTTATATCTTCGTTTGTCAGCCTGACTGCCTCTCCCATCATTTCTGAATCCTTAGCTGAATTCTTTGTTCATGTCAACGGGATAGCAAAAGAATTCTGAAAATGCTGGAAGTCGTGGACAGCAATGATGGTCGCTGAGGGTGTCAGTGTTGCCAATTCAAGACTCAGAATTCCTAGAAGAGCAAATGCTCTTTGAGTTTCTTCTGTAATAACAGCATAGTATCATATATTGGTGCTTCCTTAATTAACTTTAATTGAAGAAGTTTTTTTTCCAGACAGTGATTATAAAATACACCAGAGAGGAAAAATTATTTTGGCTTAAAATTCAGAGCAATATGTATTCTGCAAGGAGCTGGTCCAAACACCAGAATCTTAAACAATTATACAAAAGGCAGATTTCATGAGCTTTTATCAATTAAGGAACACCTTTTCCAAAGGTGGCTCACGCCTGTAATCCCAACACTTTGGGAGGTCAAGGTGGGCAGATCACCTGAGGTCAGGAGTTTGAGACCAGCCTGGCCAACATGGCGAAACCCCGTCTCTACTAAATACACAAAGATTAGCAAGGCATGGTGGCACACGCCTGTAATCCCAGCTACTCAGGTGCCTGAGGCAGGAGAATCGCTTGAACCCGGCAGGCAGAGGTTGCAGTAAGTCGAGATCCCATCACTGCACTCCAGCCTGGGTGACA
This sequence comes from Homo sapiens, assembly GCF_000001405.40. Lineage (NCBI taxonomy): Eukaryota > Metazoa > Chordata > Mammalia > Primates > Hominidae > Homo > Homo sapiens. The sequence continues at coordinate 205,636,214 of NC_000001.11, read as the reverse complement.
GAGTGAGATTTTGTCTCAAAAAAAAATTGATATATTCTCTCTTCTTTCTCTATTACATATTCCATATCAATTTTTATAAGTCTAGAAATAATACATTTATCAAAGACCAATAAAATTACTTGAGGTTAAAAATATTAAAAGAAAATAAGTAGACTGGGTGTAGAGATCAAGAATGAAAATTATATGAAGCTATTTTCTGACCTGTGTTTGTGACAGGTCATCAAACATATTAGACAGTTGCTATGCCTCAGGCGGTAATTGCAATAACTCATGTCTCGTCATGTCCTCTCTGAAAAAACAATGTATTGTGTGGAGATTACAGCTAGTCCTGAAAGATGTTGCCATGAGTTTACTTCACAGTCTAGAGGCCACAAGTACCTTGTTCAATGACCTTCAGATTGGGTTTTCTCCGGACCCTTAATACCCTCTGATTAAAAGCCTTATTATTGGGGATGAAACGTTTACTGGTTATATTTGGTAAAGTTTAGGACCTTAACAGGTAGTAGGGGTTGCCAGTGCTGCCAGATTCAATATACAGCTAGCCAGAGTTTTCTTTTCAAAGATAACTTTACCTCTATCTAAGATCTCAGTCCACACAAATATAACAGCAATAGGGCTATTTACCAAGAGTTCAAAGCATCATTTGATCAACCGCTTTTTTTTTTTTTTTTTTTTTGAGACGCAGTTTCGCTCCTGTCACCCAGGCTGGAGTGCAGTGGCACGGTATCAGCTCACTGAAACCCTCACCTCCCGGGTTCAAGCCATTCTCCTGCCTCAGCCTCCTGAGTAGCTGGGATTACAGGTGCCTGCCACCACACCTGGCTAATTTTTTTGGTATTTTAACAGAGATGGGGTTTCACCATGTTGGCCAGGCTGGTCTTGAACTCCTGACCTCAGGTGATCTACCTGCCTCAGCCCCCCAAAGTGCTGGGATTACAGGTGTGAGCCACCACAACCAGCCTACTGCCTTTTTCTTTTAGTCTATCCATTACAGACATGAAGTGAAAGGTATGTCTCTTTTATTTCTAAAGATGTTGAAAGTGAAACCCAGAAAGGGTAAGTCGCAAGGATTTTCTCAGGAGGTTCAAGTTTTGAGTTTAGGGAGACCCAAAGGCTAGAACCCAGATATCCCAGATTTTTATTCTTTCTTCTCAGTCATGTTGCAATTTGCTCCACACTTGTCCCCACCTGGGGTTGTGGGTGCTGTCTTTGACTTAAAAGATATCTCTTCTTAATGTCACGTGCTACAGGATATTGCTTGAAAGACGTAACAGGCAACTGGATGGCTCCATGCTTGCTTAGTCAGTCAAAAATCCGTGAAACACTTCTTTAGGAAAAAGGGATAGTGACTGGGAGTAATGATGAAGCAGTGAAATAAAGAGAGGGAAGAGGAAGTTGCCTTGAGAAGTAATGATCATAACTAGGTGTTATTGGGATAGGAAATGTAATTAAATTAGGGGCAAGGGGTTGCAGAGCTGAGTTAACTGCAGTGATTAAGAAAAAAAATCTAGGCCAGGCCCGGTGGCTCACATCTGTAATCCCAACACTTTGGGAGGCCAAGGCAGGCGGATCACGAGGTTAGGAGTTTGAGACCAGCCTGGCCAACACGGTGAAACCCCGTCTCTACTAAAAATACCAAAATTAGCTGGGCGTGGTGGTGCACACTTATAGTCCCAGCTACTCAGGAGGCTGAGGCAGAAGAATCGCTTGAACCCGGGAAGCGGAGGTTGCAGTGAGCCGAGATTGTGCCACTGTAACTCTAGCATGGGTGACTGTGTGAGATTCTGTCTCAAAAAAAAAAACAAAAAACAAAAAACAAAAAACAAAATCTAGGGCAGGCCAGGTAGAAAATACATATTTAAACATTTTAAGCCAGGCGTGATGGGTCACGCCTGTAATCCCAGCACTTTGGGAGGCCGAGGCGGGCGGATCACCTGAGGTCAGGAGTTCGAGACCAGCCTGACCAACACGGAGAAACTCCATTTCTACTAAAAATACAAAAAAATTTAGCCGGGCATGGTGGCGCATGCCTGTAATCCCACCTACTTGGGAGGCTGAGGAAGGAGGCTCGCTTGAACCCGGGAGGCGGAGGTTGCGGTGAGCCGAGATTGCGCCATTGCACTCCAGCCTGGGCAAGAAGAGCGAAACTCTGTCTCAAAAAAATAAATAAACATTGTAATAAAATCTACAAATTTTCTTTGGGATGGCTCTGAGTAACTAAGGCTAAGATCAGGAATCCATCTATCTGGTGGGAAAGTGACCAAACAAGATAACGAAAAAGCAGTCTTTTTGGTTGACCAACGTAACTACCATGGAGTTTGCACAAACAGAACCATCTGTTGTGTGAGGAACCATGGAGAGAGATTGTGTATTTATAGAATCTTGAGTGGGAAAACCAGGCACATTAATTAACTTTTCCCCTCAAGTTCTCTAATTAGAAATCCACTTTTCTTCCTTTCTCTTCTGTCAATATGTACCGCCTTAAAAAAAAGTCAATTTAAAAGCAGACAGATTTGCTATGACTAATTTAAGAACTCCCAAAGCAGGCTGTTTTCCAAAAATACACTGCAATTGACAATGCCGTAAGCTCAGTCTAAAAGGGATATGACACAACTACTGGCCCTAAGGCCGAATCAGATGTTTACTGCCAGTTTGAACAGAGCAGCGTAGTGTGCAGATCTCCACAACCCTTAACTGTTCTTGGTAGGGGGCTTTAAAATGAAATCTTTTTATAAACAAATGTTTCCAATAGGTGTATCCTAAACAGCCTACCTTAATACTTTTTTTTTTCTTGGTTTCCAAGATGGAACTTGTTGCAAGGAAAATTTTATGTTAGGGGCCAAGACTGCTAGTGCTTTTCAGATACTGCATGTTCCTTATAAAACATGTCTTAATATGTTTGCATGCTTTGGTAAAACTAATTTTGGAAAGGTAACATCTTTTGGTAGAGTTGTTTTTACAGGAATAGCTACCTTTGTGGATTATAATTACTCTGTATTATGGAAGAGGAGGCTGGAAATCAAGGAAGTGATGATTCTCTTCCAAAAGCCTACAAAAGGATGACAGAATCACATTTCACTCAGTGAGTTCAATTAACTATACATTCAATTGTGGGGGCAAAAATAAATGACACCACGATTTACTGGGTATCTACTATGTGCTAGGTAATGCACTAAGTACATTATGCTCTATACTTCATTTAATCCTCTCAGCAATGCTGCTCATTATCGTCATTTTACATGAGGAAACTGAGGTCCAGAAAGGTTAAGCAACTCACTACAGGTCACACAGCTAGTAAATGGCCTCGAATAACCAGTAACTCAGACACTGACCTCTCTTTGGTTTCTTGTTAAACAAACACCTAATTTATTTCTTGGAGGTTTTGTTCAGCTGTCCTAATTTATGACTTTACATTCCTTCTGGTGCTAAACTGCTCAAGTAGCCTCTTGTATCAAGTGTGACCTGATTCCTTAAGAATTTTACTTAATGAGAACCTCTAAGCTAGAAACTCTTGCTAGGTGTTTCATGCACCTTATTTTCTTTAATCATTACAACAACTCTAAGATTGGGTTCTCTCCACCTTATAAATGATGACTGTTTTAGAGAGGTTAAGGTTGCTTAAAATTGGTGAGTTAGTGAGGGGTAGAGCCACGAATGGATTTCTGGTCGCTGCCTCCATCGTCAGGGCAAGCTTTTCCCACGACTCCAGCGCTTCCATTTGTCAGTCCCCAGGCTAGAAAGCCACAGTGCTAATTTAGTATTTATCAAGCGTTTGTAGTGTCCTGGGATCTGGCACTTCGATGAGAAAGCTGTGACGGCCCCAACTTCTAACAGCGAGTGGTAAGGAGGACGAGGGACACAGGAGGGAGGAGACTCTCCCCAAAGCTTAGCACCAACAGAAGTGGTCCCCCGCAGGTTGCTCTGCGAGCGCCACCTCTTCCCTCCAACCGAGGAGAAAGTGGCGCGCCTTTGAGGAGTCCGAGGTCCCGGCCCAGGCGGCAGCTTGGGTCCTGGCGGGTTCCGGACGGGCGCCTCAGGGACCTGGAAGCAACCGCACCGAACGCGACGGAGAGCGGCGAGACGACTCCAGGAGGCGCCCGAGCTACATCCCCCGGCCACACCAAACCCGGGTTTGCTGGCAGACGCGGCTCACGACACCCCTTAGGGTCGCAGCCCCTCCCCCGGAAGTGACGTGTAGCGACTACGGCGTCTGGGAGGGACCCAGGAGCAGTCGGGGGGTTTGAGAGTGGCGGCGGCCGCGGAGGGCCTGGCAGGCCCCGCCGCTGCAAGGAACGCCCCGAACGCGCGCGCCCGGCGTGTAGCGGCCCCAAGACCCGCGCCGCCGCTGCCGCGTGCGGGGGCGGGGAGGGCGGGGCGCCAGGAGCCGCGGCGGCGGGAGATGCGGGCGGCTGCGGGCACCCGGCGGGCTCGGCTTGGCCGCCGCCGCCTTCTACGGCTCCGCCGCGGGGGTCGCAGCGGCTGCCGCGCCGTCCTCGAGTTTCCAGCGTGAGGAGGAGGCTGAGGGCGGAGAGGCGCATCGTGTTCGAGGCGGAGACCGAGGGGGAGCCCCGCGCGCGGCGTCGGTGAGCGGTCAGCCCCGCGCGCCCCCTCGGGATCTCGCGGCCACAGCCCCACCGGCCGGGAGCGGGGGCGGGGGCCGAGGGGCGCGCGGCACAACAGGAAGTGGGGGCGGGGGCCGGGGCCGGGCGCGCGCGCTCCCCTTGGGTCCGCCCCCGGCCCGCCGGGCACCGCGGCGCACAGGTGGACGCCGCAGCGCACCGCTCAGCTCTCGTCGCCTCTTGGTCCCCCGAAGTCTCGTGGGCGAAAGGTGGCGGCGATTTTTTCGGCGTGGATGGGGAGGAGGGGAGCAATTCTCATTTTCTGTAGTGACAGGAAGTTGGAAAATGAAAGTACAGTAATTCAGTGCTTACCAAGGCCCGGTGAGGTTGCACCTCTTCCCCCAGACTTTGATCTCCTGTAGGGCACACGCGGCCGTCCGCGTTTCTTCCTCTCCCCTAGCTCGCTAGTCATCCGGTGTCGAGTTTCATTTCTTTTTCTCTTTCGCTCCAGCGGCCCCCCGCCCCTCTTTACTTTCCGCCTTGTGCACAGCTGCATCGAGGCTGGTAACTTCATTCCTGGGAAGATCAATTGGAAACATCTTTCGGGGCGGGATAGTAACTGGCCTTGGAAGGAAATAGGGATGTTGTTGACTGAAGTAGTCAAAAGTACACACTTCACTTTTTCTCCAGCTATTGCTATTTGAAATTTGGGGAATTTAAATAAAGATTCTGGAGTTCTATGCCTCATCAGAATGGTTTGTCCATCTCTTTGGTTGATAGATCAGATCCTCTGTCGTCTTTTCCCACCCCCTACACCCCCTGGCTTGGAAAACTTGGTGCTTCAATATTTAGGTTTGGCAGCGGTGTTTTCATTAAAATGTAGTATGATTCAATATTTTCCCTTCAGGAACACTCTTCTCTTTGATTTTACTTAAACATTAAAACTGCGTAAGTGGAATCTGTTCATTCCTAGTGAGGTAGTGTCTTTAAGTTTTATTGTAAGAATATTGTAAGAACTGTGCAGGATCCTATACAAAGAGTATTTTTTAGGAGCCTGTGTAGTTAAAAACGTCATGTTACTTTTGGTTACTTTTTGACAACGGTGAGTATTTTGATTCGAAACTAGGCTTGATACATTCATAACTTGGTTTTTTAAGTAGCAGGCTGAAGAAAATTTGGAGACTTTGTGTTTTTTTGGGTCTTAGCTACTGTCTCTGAAAAATAGTTGGGCTATGGGTCACCACAGCAACTGGACTGTGTGTATTATAAACATGTTTAGGGTGGAAAAGGTTTTATTTAATAGAGACTTCCTTTCCTTAATACATTACTTCAACATGCTCCCTTTCAATTTAGGACAGGGATTGGTCTATCTTTGAAGTGTTAAAATAGAATCAATTATGTTTTCAGCCTTTACCCCCTCAAAAATCAAATACCTTCATTTGGACCAGTTAAGTGTTTTCTTCCTTTGTTATAACTTTAAACTTTAAAAATTGCAATTGTGGAAAACTCGGGATTCCTGTAAGAAGGAAAATCAAGTAATTAGCCTCTTTTTTTTTTTTGATAGGTAACAAGAATAAAAGGTTTTGTTTGGTTTTGTTTTGTTGTGTTTTTGTTTTTGTTAGAGACAAGGTCTCACTCTGTTGCCCAGGCTGGAGTGCAGTGATGTGGTGTCTGCTCACTGCAACCTCCATCTCCCGGCCATTCTCCCACCTCAGCCTCCCGAGTAGTCACGCACTACCATACCCGGCTAATTTTTTGTATTTTTGGTAAAGACAGGGTTTCAACATGTTGCCTAGGCCAGTCGTGAACTCCTGAGCTCAAGCTCCCCCCTTGGCCTCCCAAAGTGCTGGGATTACAGGCATGAAGCAACCACATAATTTTTAATAACTGTCTTAGGGGATTTTTTTTCTTTAGCTTTTATTTTATTTATTTATTTTTTGAGACAGGGTCTTGCTCTGTCGCCCAGGATGGAGTGCAGTGGTGTGATTTCAGCTCACTGTGACCTCCGCCTCCTGGGTTCAAATGATTCTTCTGCCTCAGCCTCCCTAGTAGCTGGAATTACAGGTGCCCACCACCACGCCCAGGTAATTTTTGTATTTTTAATAGAAACGGGGTTTCACCATGTTGGCCAGGCTGGTCTAGAACCCCTGACCTCAAGCGATTTGGTCTCCCAAAGTGCTGGGATGGTAGGCGTATGCCACTGTGCCCGGCCAGCTCTCTTTTATATCTGATGAAATCATTGAAGATCATTGTTAATACCACACTTTTTGAAACTAAAATGAAGAGTTTTGACTTAACTATGTAAGAAGACGTTGGCTGCTTTTCAATCAAAAGAATAACGATATCATAATTGAATTAATAAAATATTCCTTTAAAGTACCCAGTGAAAATGTCCACTTTATATCTTTTTCTCAAAATTCATTTCTAATACTTCAGTCTAAAACCTCAAAGCCATTTTTTTCTTTTCTTTTTTTTTTTTTTTTTTGAGACGTAGTCTTGCTCTGTTGCCCAGGCTGGAGTGCAGTGGCACGATCTCGGCTCACTGCAAGCTCCGCCTCTCGGGTTCACGCCATTCTGCCTCAGCCTGCCGAGTAGCTGGGACTACAGGCACCCGCCACCACGCCTGGCTAATTGTTTGTATTTTTAATAGACACGGGGGTTTCACCTTGTTAGCCAGGATGGTCTCCATCTCCTGACCTCGTGATCTACTTGCCTCGGCCTCCCAAAGTGTTGGGATTATAGGCGTGAGCCACTGCACCCGGCCAAAGCCATTTTTTTTTTTTTACTGTCCTCAACCTTCTATCGTAGACACACTGTAGTTGCTAAATAAGCATCAGCATTTTCCACAACAGCTCGGTTCTACCTTAAAGCAGCCAACAGCTCACCAGTGTTTGACTAAATACATGCTGCTCCACTGATAACCAACAGGGAAGGTGCAAGTTAAACCTGTACCATCTGGGGAACACCTGTTATTTTGGGGAGTCTCCTTGGGTGCTCATTATGGAGACGTTAATTTGTTGTTTTTGTCTTTAGATGTATAGCTGAGGCTTTAAACTTGTAGGGCTGAAATGTTATCTACATAATAGGTATTAAGACTCTAGGATCCGGGTGTTGGAATTTTTTCAAAAACAAATGGAATAATAGGCACCACATCTGTGTAGGCTAGAGACTCCCATTCTCTGTCTTTCCTTCATCATCTCACGAATGGATTCATACTCCACCCCTATAAGCAGTCTTATATGAAGGTGATGTCTGGAAATGTGGAAATTGAGTTCTTGGCTTAAGATAACATTTACTAGAGAGTAGTTTTAACAGGATTAGATTAGAAATAATTGTTTAAGTGGGAAAACTGTAGTAGAACGGTAACTTGCCATCATTAGGCATCATCAGAAGAAAGGCCTGTCAGGTAAACTCAAGAGACATAACAGGGAATCCCTGCCTGCTTCCACCATACTTAATGGCCGTAGTATAAAACCGCTATTTTAGCCCCGCTTAAGTGAGGCTATGGGGAACCGATTTCTAGCGGGCATGGTTATTTGGCATTAAGGTAGCACTTCATATTTGTGGATTATTATCGGTATCTAATATGTAATGCTTTTTTACAATCAATTAGCGATATGAGTGCTTTTATTTATTTGGAAAGTGGTTTCCCTAATGGACAGAGTACATGACTGTGATGAAAGAGACTTGGGACTCATGGCCTCAGCTTTTCCATGAATTCTGACTGTGGGCAGCATCTCTCCCTTTCTATCCTTTATTATTTTCCCATCGTTACTTTTAGGTGACTGTCTCTGTACAACCAGCTTCAAAGTGATAATCGTGAGGATTACTGGAGGACATTTTGAGTGTTTCAGAAAAGTTATAGAAACCCAACTATTTTCCACTACAGTTTCTTATCTCTGCCCTTTTTGGAAGTAGGTATAGTTGACCCTTAAGAATCCCATCTTCTGTGAGTTAAATGTTGTTAGAATTAGTCTTCCCAGACCTAACTTTTATAGTGTTTGTTGTGTTGTTTGTTTTAAAAATCTTTATTGAGATATAATTCACATACCATAAAATTCACCTCCTTAGGTGTAATATGCTGTGGGTTTTGTGCAAGCATGAACACAATCTAAGTTTATAATATTTTCTTTTCTTTTTTTTTTTTGAGGCGGAGTCTCGCTCTGTCACCCAGGCTGGAGTGCAGTGGCGCAATCTCAGCTCACTGCAAACTCTGCCTCCCAGGTTCACGCCATTCTCCTCCCTCAGCCTCCTGAGTAGCTGGGACTACAGGCGCCCACCACCACGCCCAGCTAATTTTTTGTATTTTTAGTGGAGACGGGGTTTCACTGTGTTAGACAGGATGGTCTCGATCTTCTGACCTTGTGATCAGCCCACCTCGGCCTCCCAAAGTGCTGGGATTACAGGCGTGAGCCACTGCGCCCTGCCTAAGTTTATAATATTTTCATCACCCCCAAAAGAAACCCTGTACCCATTTTCTATCATTCCCCACTTCTCTTCCCCGCATTTTAGCCCCCAGTCCTAAATAATTACTAATCTATTTTCTGTGTCTGGATTTTCCTATTCTGGACATTTCATATAAGTGGAAACATACAATATGTGGTCTTTTGTGGACTGGCTTCTATTAGTCACTTGCATAATGTTTTCAAGGTTTGTCCTTGTGTGTGTGTGTACCTCATTCCTTTCTGTGGCTGGATGATACCCCATTATGAATGTGCCACATATTATTTATCCATTCATCAGTTGACGGACATTTAGTTTGTTTCTACTTTTTAGATGTTATGAATAATTCTGCTATGAACAGTCCTGTGTAAGTTTTTGTATGGATGTATGTTTTCATTTCTTTTGGGTATATACCTAGGAGTAGAATTGTTGAGTCATGTATTAAACTTGTCCAAAGTGGCTACACCATTTTACATTCCCACCAGCAATGTACAAGGGCTTCAATTTCTCTGCATCCTTGCCAATATTTGTTATTGTCTGTCTGTCTTGATTATAGCCTTCCAAGTAGGCATGAAGTGGTTTCTCAGATGGTTTTGATTTTTAGTTCCCTAATAACTAATTATGTAGAGCATTTTTTTTTTGGTGGTTTCTTCTTTATTGATGTGCCTCCTACCTTCCCCTTGCAATTTCAGTCCCTTCCAACTACCCCCCAAAAAGGTAGTAAAAGGAAGGGATTGCTGGGGTTCTGAGCCCCTTGGGCAGTCAGAAAGGGAACAGAAACTGAAACAATCACTGGATGTGACAGAGACTGACAATCAAGAAGTCTAAAGCAGAATGGGAAAGGCGGGCAGAGAAAGGGGAAGAAAGGAGAAAGGAGAGGTACGAGATGCCAACTCCACCATTACCCCTCCTAAGAGAGGCTGGAAAGAAAGCCTCAAACATTAAGAAGTGCCGGTCCTGAATAAGGGAGGTGGTGTTTGAGCTTGGAGGAGGAGGTCAAGAAAGGGAGGCCACCTCTCTGTAGAATGAGACCCCCCTTCCAGCTCAGGGGTAGCAGCATCACAGACTGTAGACACTTTGGTCACTGTAGGCAACGTAGAGAAAGAAGTCTTCATGGTGTTCCTGGTAGAGCTGACCCATTGTGGCACTGGTGGGCAGAATGACATTGTTGACAAAGAAAAACAAGGCATCCTCAGCTCGGAGATGAATTCGCTTCTGGATCAAGAAGTAGAACTGGGCCGGGCGCAGTGGCTTATGCCTGTAATCCCAGCATTTTGGGAGGCCAAGGCAGGCGGATCATGAGGTCAGGAGTTCAAGACCAGCCTGACCAACATGGTGAAACCCCACCTCTACTAAAAATACAAAAATTAGCTGGGCGTGGTGGCATGCACCTATAATCCCAGCTACTCGGGAGGCTGAGACAGGAGAATCGCTTGAACCCAGGAGGCGGAGGTTGCAGTGAGCCCAGATTGCGCCACTGCACTCCAGCCTGGGTGACAGAGTGGGACTCCATCTCACAAAAAAAAAAAAAAAGAAGCAGCAGCAGCAGAACTGACCAGCTGTGAGATCAGAAGGCACCAGGTATTTCTTTTGGTCCAGGTCTCCTATCCGAGCTTTGGGAGCCTTTTCTACTATCACCGGCACCCGGTCCGGGTATTTCTTTCCAGTCTTCTTGCTCTCGGAGCCGCCCGTTTCTTGAACGGATGCTCTTCTTTGTACACGAATTTCATCCTGTTGGGAACCCGGCTGAACTAGGCTGGGCTGAAGGAACCTGGGGGAGCCGGGAGGTGGGTGGCAGTGATAGTGGCGACAAGTAGGCAGATTCAGCCAATGTAGAGCATTTTTTCGTGTGTTTATTGGCTATTTGTATATCTTCTTTGCTATGATGTCTTTTCAAATTCTTTGCTTTTTTTTTTTTAGTCGTAGGCGTTTTTTAATATATTTTGGATGCAGGCTCCCTTTGTGATACATGGTTTGAAAATATTCTCCCATTTGGGGGATTGTCTTCTCACTTGATGGCATTATTTGCAGCACAACAATTTTAAATTTTGTTGTAGTCCAGTTTTGATCTGTTCTTGTAGTGTTTTAATGGTATTGATATAATTTGTTTTCAAACTCTATTCTAACCCATTGAGATCTCATTACTAGAGAAAGGAAGGTTTTTTGTTTTTGTTTTTTTTTGTGTGTGTGAAGTATTCAATCATAAGATTCTTAGGACACACTTATACGGATTTGGCCAGAGTTTCTGCCCTAAAGAATTCTTCCTAATAGAAAGGTGTTTTGAAATTGTATGAGGAAAATACCTTTATGAGAGAGCATTCCTTGCTGCTCCTTTGCCTAAACCAATGGTTATCTACCGGGATGACTTTGACCCCTGGGGGAATATTTGGCAGTGTCTGGAGATATTTTTGATGGTCTCAATGGGGCAGGCGGTGCTACTGGCATCTAGTGGGTAGAGGCCGGGTATGCTGTTAGACAAACTGCAGTGTACAGGACAGCTTCCCACAACAAAGAATTATCTGGCCCCCAAAACCAATAATGCCAAAATTGAGAAACTCTGGCCTAAACAGGGAGATCCTGAAACTTAAGATATTAAAATATTTTTCTTCAATCCATGCCTTGATAATCACATAAAGATTGCTAATCAAAGGAGAATCTTTGCAGATGGAATCACTGTGGACAGAACAGTGACAGAAAAGAGAACACTTTGCTGAATTCAAAATGCTGCCAATTTGTATGTAAATGACATTTATGGTGATGGAAACCAGTTGGAGCAAAAGTAGATTATTCCCTACACCTCAGTCCCTGGGCCACCCTGAGATAGACACAAACACATACACTCACAGGCAGATAACCAAACCGGGTTGATTTAGACAGATGCTGGAATGGTGGTCTCCTGAGAGAATACAGCAATGAGATTTTAGGATTCAAATTTAACAACAGTGATTGACAGTCACTAGTGATTGACAATCATTGTTTTTTCCTATAATTTAGGGAACTAGCTTTATCCTCCTTGCAAGTTGCTTGTTGCTTAAGACATTTCTTAAGCAGCGTGGCATCCTTAAGAGTTTGGATTCTGGGTCCAGATTGCCTGGGCTTAGATCTTAGCTTCACCGTTTACTTGTGTGATGTTGTACAAGTTCCTTAACCCTCTTATGAATCAGTTTTTTCTTACGTAAAATGAGGATGCAGTAGTATCTACCTTATAGAAATGTGGGGATGAATTAATACATTTAGAGCACTTAAAACAGTGCATGACATACAGTGTTAAATAGGTGTTGGCTGTTAATATTATCACATATCTTATCTATATTCTTTCAGCTCATTGCTATGGACAGTGCTATCACCCTGTGGCAGTTCCTTCTTCAGCTCCTGCAGAAGCCTCAGAACAAGCACATGATCTGTTGGACCTCTAATGATGGGCAGTTTAAGCTTTTGCAGGCAGAAGAGGTGGCTCGTCTCTGGGGGATTCGCAAGAACAAGCCTAACATGAATTATGACAAACTCAGCCGAGCCCTCAGATACTATTATGTAAAGGTAGTACACATCCTGATCTTATACTATACAGAGAACCTCCAGACAAGAACGATTCCTTCTTGGCTGGGCACAGTGGCTCACGCCTGTAATCCCAGCACTTTGGGAGGCCAAGGAGGGTGGATCACCTGAGGTCAGGAGTTCAAGACCAGCCTAACCGATGTGGTGAAACCCTGTCTCTACCAAAAATACAAAAAAAACGTTAGCTGGGCGTGGTGGTGGGCACCTGTAATCCCAGCTACTCAGGAGGCTGAGGCAGGAGAATCGTTTGAACCCGGGAGGCGGAGGTTGTAGTGAGCCAAGATTGTGCCATTGCACTCCAGCCTGGGTGACAGTGAGACTCCGTCTCAAAAAAAAAAAAAAAAAGATTCCTTGTTTTCTGTTGAGGTTATAGATACCAATTTCCTAGTTTATTTTAATCCAGTGTATTTTGTAGCTTCAGCAGTTTGGAATTAGGATACAAGGTATAAATGTTCCGGCTGAATCTCTACCAAATCTTCTTCTTTTTTTTTTTTTTTTTTGAGACGGAGTCTTACTCTGTCGCCCAGGCTGGAGTGCAATGGTGCGATCTTGGCTTACTGCAACCTCTGCCTCCAGGGTTCAAGCTATTCTCCTGTCTCAGCCTCCCAAGTAGCTGGGATTACAGGTGGCCACCACCACGCCCAGCTAATTTTTTATTATTTATTTATTTGTTTATTTTTTTAGTAGAGGTGGGGTTTCACCATGTTGGCCAAGTTGGTCTTGAACTCCTGACTTGAGGTGATCCACCTGCCTTGGCCTCCCAAAGTGCTGGGATTATAGGCGTGAGCCATCACAGCCAGCTGCCCCAGATTTTATTTATTAACTTACTCCCATTACACATATTTTATTCCTAATTACAGTTGTCTTTAAAAGAAAAAATATGTACAGAATTGGAATATGACAAAGGCAATTTGAGATTCTTGAGGATAAGTAAATATTCTCATGTGTGTCATAATTTACTTTAAAAATTGTGAAGCCTGGAGTAGTGGCTCATGCCTGTAATGCCAGCACTTTGGGAGGCTGCAGCAGGAGGATCACTTGAGCCCAGAAATTTGAGACCAGACTGGGCAACACAGGGAGACCCCGTCTCTACAAAAAACAGTGTGGCGCGGTGGTGTACACCTGTAGTCCCAGTGCCCAGGAGGCTGAGGCAGGAGGATCACTTAAGCTCAAGTGGTTGAGGCTGCAGTGAGCCATGATCACACACCACTGCACTCCATGAGAACCCTGTCTTGTTGGGGAGAAAAGTCATATATGTACATATACACACACACATATATCTACATATATACGTTTTATATCTTAATTTTTAGTTTTAGTTTAACCCAGGGAACACAAATTAAAACCTTATACCTTAAGTAGTAGCTGTTTATACACAGAGTTGGTTTTTTAGTTAAAATTGCTGAGATCTTAATTTCTTTCACTTTTTTTTGTTTGTTTGTTTGAGACGGAGTCTTGCTCTGTTGCCCAGGCTGGAACACAGTGGCGTGATCTCAGCTCACTGCAACTTCTGCCTCCCAGGTTCAAGTGATTCACCTGCCTCAGCCTCCCGAGTAGCTGGGACTACAGACATGCACCACCACACCTGGCTAATTTTTGTATTTTTGGTAGAGATGGGGTTTCACCATCTCTACGGGAGGCTGGTCTTGAACTCCTGACCTCAGGCAGTCCACCTGCCTTGGCCTCCCAGAGTGCTGGGATTACAGGCGTGAGCCACTGTGCAGGGCTCTTTCACCATTAAGTGGTTGATCTTACCAGCTTTCCTGTCTGGAGATAAACTGGAATTTCTGAAGGAAGTAAGAACCTTAACAGATACTATGTTCTAAATTCCTTTTTCACAGCCGGGCGCGGTGGCTCACGCCTGTAATCCCAACACTTTGGGAGGCCGGGGTGGGTGGATCAGTTGAGGTCAGGAGTTCAAGACCAGCCTGGCCAACATGGCAAAACCCCATCTCTACTAAAAATACAAAATTAGCTGGGCATGGTGATGTGTGCCTATAATCCCACCTACTTGGGAGGCTGAGGCAGGAGAATTGCTTGAACCCAGGAGGCAGAGGTTGCAGTGAGCTGAGATCACACCACTGCACTCCAGCCTGGGTGACAGAGTGAGACTCCATCTCAAAAAAATAAGTAAATAAATTCCTTTTTGCTTACTCAGGATGTGTATGGCTTATACCTTTGGAATTGTTTGAGACTGCAGTTCAGGGAGTTCTAATCTGCACAGATATTTGGTTGAGAGTGGTAAGCAATTAAAATCCTTCAGTTTTTATGTAACATATTAGTTCAGTTGTTAATAAGACATTTAAATGTTCTTGCCTTAACTTCTCCATAATAGTAGGGACTGTGTTTGGTATGGCTAGATGAATTTAGGTGATTTTGAAAGTTTTAAGTAAGTGATGTCTACTTCTAAAATGGAGAACCTCATTACCAGCTTTTTCTTTTTTTTTTTTTTTTTTTTTTTTTTAAGACAGACTCTTGCTCTGTCACCAGGCTGGAGTGCAGTGGTGTGATCTTGGCTCACTGCAACCTCCGCCTCCCGGGTTCAAGGGATTCACCTGCCTCGGCCTCCTGAGTAGCTGGGACTACAGGCGCACGCCACCATGCCCTGCAAATTTTTTCTGTTTTAGTGGAGACGGGGTTTCACCATGTTGGCCAGGCTGGTCTCAATCTCCTGACCTCGTGATCCGCCCTCCTCGGCCTTCCAAAGTGCTGGGATTACAGGCATGAGCCACTGTGCCTGGCCGATGCCAGCTTTTTCATGAACTATGGGATATAAGTTTATAAGAAAGGATAAAAATGCTTTTTTTTTTAACCTACAGAATATCATCAAAAAAGTGAATGGTCAGAAGTTTGTGTACAAGTTTGTCTCTTATCCAGAGATTTTGAACATGGATCCAATGACAGTGGGCAGGATTGAGGGTGACTGTGAAAGTTTAAACTTCAGTGAAGTCAGCAGCAGTTCCAAAGATGTGGAGAATGGAGGGAAAGATAAACCACCTCAGCCTGGTGCCAAGACCTCTAGCCGCAATGACTACATACACTCTGGCTTATATTCTTCATTTACTCTCAACTCTTTGAACTCCTCCAATGTAAAGCTTTTCAAATTGATAAAGACTGAGAATCCAGCCGAGAAACTGGCAGAGAAAAAATCTCCTCAGGAGCCCACACCATCTGTCATCAAATTTGTCACGACACCTTCCAAAAAGCCACCGGTTGAACCTGTTGCTGCCACCATTTCAATTGGCCCAAGTATTTCTCCATCTTCAGAAGAAACTATCCAAGCTTTGGAGACATTGGTTTCCCCAAAACTGCCTTCCCTGGAAGCCCCAACCTCTGCCTCTAACGTAATGACTGCTTTTGCCACCACACCACCCATTTCGTCCATACCCCCTTTGCAGGAACCTCCCAGAACACCTTCACCACCACTGAGTTCTCACCCAGACATCGACACAGACATTGATTCAGTGGCTTCTCAGCCAATGGAACTTCCAGAGAATTTGTCACTGGAGCCTAAAGACCAGGATTCAGTCTTGCTAGAAAAGGACAAAGTAAATAATTCATCAAGATCCAAGAAACCCAAAGGGTTAGAACTGGCACCCACCCTTGTGATCACGAGCAGTGATCCAAGCCCACTGGGAATACTGAGCCCATCTCTCCCTACAGCTTCTCTTACACCAGCATTTTTTTCACAGGTAGCTTGCTCGCTCTTTATGGTGTCACCATTGCTTTCATTTATTTGCCCTTTTAAGCAAATCCAGAATTTATACACTCAAGTTTGCTTTCTGTTACTTAGGTTTGTCTTAGAAAGGTTATGTGTGACTGTCATGTGAAAGTTACCCCATTTCTCATCTTAATTAGGATTGCTAAAATAGAAAGTTTGGAGTATTTTCTTAAAAAATTCATTGTTCTACAAGTAAATAAATATTTTGATTTTTCTATTTCCTCCTAAAGAAAGTACACACACTCTCTCGCTCTCTCTCGGTCTTATAAAACTCGTTGGTGTCTTATAAAACAAACAGTGATAATCTCAAGTTAGAAAACAGTAGGTCCTGAGAACCATAAGAAAAATGACTGGTGTGATGTTGAGTAACAAGTTGGTACAGTTACTTTAGCTATTTATTAACTTGCTCATCTCATAGAACATTTTAGTAGATTTTTCACACACCTCATTATTAAAAAAAAACAAACATGCTGGTGTCTTGGTTACCCATTATTCCTCTGTACCTGAATTCAGGTTGGTTTTTCTATTTGGAAAAGACTTTATAAATGTTGGCTTAAAAAGAGGTTGAGCACCAGAATCTCAGAATTTACCACCAAAGAACTCATCCATGTAACCAAAAACCACTTGTACCCCCAAAAACTATTGAAATAAAAATTTAAAAAATTTTAAGTAGTTATTATCACCTTTATCCCTCTTAGTTTGTAAAAATAATTTTTGAGTTTTGTCATGATAATATTTCAGACTTGGAGATATTTGGAGTGGAGGATAGGGCAATATTTAGGTTTGGGTTATTTGTGTGCTGTTTCAAGGATAAAACATCCTGGTAAGTCAGTCAGTGAATATTTTTGCTTTGTGTATTGCAGACACCCATCATACTGACTCCAAGCCCCTTGCTCTCCAGTATCCACTTCTGGAGTACTCTCAGTCCTGTTGCTCCCCTAAGTCCAGCCAGACTGCAAGGTGCTAACACACTTTTCCAGGTAATTTTATAAATATCTGTCTTCTGTAGTTGGAGCATGTTAAATGAAGAAAGAGGCAAAAAGGCAGGGTCCCACTATTCAGTTTAATCATTATAAAACTTCTATTTAATGAATATTCTTTTTTTATTTTTTTGAGATGGAGTCCTCACCATGTCACCCAGGCTGGAGTGCAGTGGCATAATCTCAGCTCACTGCAACCTGCACCTTCCAGGTTCAAGCGATTCTCCTGCCTCAGCCTCCGGAGTAGCTAAGATTACAGGTGTGCAACACCACGTCTGGTTGATTTTTGTGTTTTTAGTGAGACAGGGTTTGACCATGTTGTCCAGACTGGTCTCCAACTCCTGACCTCAGGTGATCCGCCCACCTTGGCCTCCCAAAGTGTTGGGATTACAGGCATGAGCCATTGTGCCCTGCCCAATGAATATTCTTTAGATTTATTTTTGAATTTCCAAATATTAATTTTCTAGCTGGCAAACAGCTTGAATAAATATAGCAAAGTTTCATTTTCATTATTTACTATTACATACATTTGAGTTAGACCAAGAATTGTTCAATACTGTAGGAGATTTAGAGCCTACCCCAAGTTTTTGTCACTAGAAATTCTCTATTTAAAAAAAAAAAATGGGCCAGGCAGTGTGTGTGTCATGCCTGTAATCCCAGCGCTTTGGTAGGCCGAGGCAGGAAGATTGCTTGAGCTCAGGAGTTTGAGACCAGCCTGGACAACCTAAGGAGACCTTGTCTGTACTAGAAATAAAAAAAATTAAGTTAGGCATGGTAGCACGTGCCTGTGGCCCCTAGAGCTACTTGGGAGGCTGAGGTGGGAGGACCGCTTGAGCCCAGTAGATCAAGGCTGCAGTGAGCTATAATGGCACCGCTGCACTCCGGCCTGGGTGACACAGTGAGACCTTGTCTCAAAAAAACAAAATCCACACACACACACTCTCTCTCTCTCTCTTGCTCTCTCTCTCTCTCACACACACACACACACACATATATGGGGGATCTCTGCACATAGGTTCCCTCTTTTAATTAAAGATTAAAAAAAATTTTTTTTTGAGGCGGAGTTTTGCTCTTGTTGTCCAGGCCAGAATGCAATGGCACGATCTCAGCTCACTGCAACCTCTGCCTCCTGGGTTCAAGCGGTTCTCCTGCCTCAGCCTCCCGAGTAGCCAGGATTATAGGCATGTGCCACCATGCTAGGCTAATTTTGTATTTTTAGTAGAGACGAGGTTTCTTCATGTTGATCAGGCTGGTCTCAAACTCCTGACCTCAGGTGATCCGCCCGCCTCAGCCTCCCGAAGTGCTGGGATTACAGGCATGAGCCACTGCACGCGGCCCAAGCATTTTTTTTTTTTTAATAGAGAAAGGTCTTGAAAATGGTATATCAAACAGTCCCATTTCTCCCTCAGTCAGAATTGATAATTTATCAACATTTTATATGTACATTTTTAAAAAAATGAATATTATCTCTTCACCAAGACGTTAGGAAAGTTCTTGCCATTCCTAATGGGTTTAGCCATTATTTTGCCCAAAACACTTAGATGTTATAACTTAAAGACTTTCTTGGAGTCAATTCATTTACTTATTCATGGTTGACTATCTCTGATTTTCTTATATTTTGTAATTTAACTTCTCATTCTTTTAGAAATGAAATGGTAGGGAAAAAGAGGAAAATTAAAAATCTCTCTGCTTTTTATTTTTTGCCAACGTTTAAAATTATTGAATAGAAAAAAAAGTTGAGAATTTTTCATATTTTTTTTCATTGCCACACATGAGCAGATAATTGAGTTATAGAGTCAGCTGAGACCTTAAGCAAAGTCATAGTGCTCCTGTAGCTTCAGCCTGGAATCTCCCTGTAGAGCTGGCCTCAGAATACTTGATGGGGAACCCTTTTCTAGGATGAGTGCTATTTATACCTTTCTGGATCTCTTTTTGAGGGTTTATGATTTGCTCCATAATTGAATTACACTCTGTAGTGCATATTGTCATTTACTTGAACTTTCTAAAACCTTCATTTGAGGTTAATTGTAAACCTGTGTACCTTAGGATATGAAGGAGGGTACAGGTTGTTCTTTGTTTCTACTCCATTGAGGTAAGTTGGAGAATGTTAATATTTAATATGTTAGGACAAAAGATTTTTGTTTCTAGTTTTTGTTATGACATCATATTCTTTCATGATAAACAGCCACTGCCTTTGTCCTGTGAGCCATTACAGAAGGCTGTTGTGTTTTGCCTCAGGTAATAGAGTAGGATAGAAAGTAAAAGTTGGGGTTGAGTAATAGGATGATAATGTGTTTTGTTTTCTTTCTCAGTTTCCTTCTGTACTGAACAGTCATGGGCCATTCACTCTGTCTGGGCTGGATGGACCTTCCACCCCTGGCCCATTTTCCCCAGACCTACAGAAGACATAACCTATGCACTTGTGGAATGAGAGAACCGAGGAACGAAGAAACAGACATTCAACATGATTGCATTTGAAGTGAGCAATTGATAGTTCTACAATGCTGATAATAGACTATTGTGATTTTTGCCATTCCCCATTGAAAACATCTTTTTAGGATTCTCTTTGAATAGGACTCAAGTTGGACTATATGTATAAAAATGCCTTAATTGGAGTCTAAACTCCACCTCCCTCTGTCTTTTCCTTTTCTTTTTCTTTCCTTCCTTCCTTTTCTTTTCTCCTTTAAAAATATTTTGAGCTTTGTGCTGAAGAAGTTTTTGGTGGGCTTTAGTGACTGTGCTTTGCAAAAGCAATTAAGAACAAAGTTACTCCTTCTGGCTATTGGGACCCTTTGGCCAGGAAAAATTATGCTTAGAATCTATTATTTAAAGAAATATTTGTGAAATGAATTGGCATCTTTAGGACTAAGTGTGCTCTGTTGAATGACTTAAAGTGAGCTGTTCCTAAGCAGTGGAAGAAGAAGAATCATTCCTATTCATACAAAGTAAGATTGGAGCAGTCATACTGGGGAGATTGTTTTGTGTGAACTATAACGTGTAAGCAACTCCATGAAAAGGCATCTTGTTTACCTTTATTCAGGGTGGATCTCTTAGCCATATGTATGATCCTGTCTGAACCTGTCAACAGAGCATGGAGCTAGTCTATTTCACTATAGAAAGATTTTTAGACCTGGGGTTTAAGACAGTTTTTGGAACACCTAGTAAGAATATGGGACCTCACATCTAGCACAGAAATGCTCTTTGCCCTCTGGGTGGTATGATTATATGCCCATGGAATACAGCATGGGAAATGATCACTTTTAGGAGGATGAACTTGGATTTTGAATATTTGAAACATCTCTGAGTAAAAGATTCGATCAGATAACTTGAAACAACATGTAGTGGTTTTCTCAATTAGAAGATAACCAAGTGAAGGACCTGTCTTTTTCCTGTTCATTTTACCTCATTTTCTACTATACATTTATCACCTTTCCTTTATGTTTAAGGTTGTTAGAGGTTATGATAGTTTTAAAGATGCAGTTAGGAAGGTAGAATTCAAAGTGAAGCCTCCCCAGTCAGGAGCGAAGATGTGCTTATTTCCTTTTTTTTTTTTTTTTTTTTTTTTTGAGACAGAGTCTTGCTCTATCACCCAGGCTGGAGTGCAGTGGCGCGATCTCAGCTCACTGTAAGCTCCGCCTCCCGGGTTCAAGCAATTCTCCTGCCTCAGCCTCCTGAGTAGCTGGGACTACAGGCATGCGCCACTACGCCTGGCTAATTTTTGTATTTTTAGTAGAGACGGGGTTTCACCATGTTGGCCAGGATGGTCTTGATCTCTTGACCTTGTGATCCGCCCACCTCAGCCTCCCAAAGGCGCAGGCTCAGATGTGCTTATTTCTTTCAACTTTTTTTTTTTAAATGGGGAAGAGCAGAGTTCATTTGGGAATGCTTATACATAGGGATTGGATTGTTCATATTAGTAGTAAAAAATGTAGGCCTTATTCTCTACATTACCAAATTTTTAAAATATTACTATATGGTAATCAATGCCAGGTACAGATTTGTTGGTTCCCCAAACTGAATTGATATCAGTATCACAGTGGAGTCTTTTGAAAATTAAAGTCCAGGATTAAATTATATGTTGTCACCATTCACCACCACTACCACCCTCCCCCACCAATCTCTCCCACCGGTTAAACTCGTCTTCTAATCCTGTAGAATCACATGAACTAAATGAAGAAGTAAGAACTTGAAGGCTCAGACTGACACTGTTACAAACTAGCATCTTCAGATGCATGGTATTTACTTTAAATGTGCTTATATACAGTGTAGAGAAGCTCTTGTATAAGAAGACATCTATGCTAGCTAACTTAGTAGTAGTAGAGGGAACATATTCAGTGAGCTGCCTTTATATCTGTAGTGTCGGAGACTTGTTACTGGTTCATTTGTGGTTATCAGTTGAAGGTTCTGTTCCTGAGATGTGCAATAGTAGTGTTGAAAGGTATTGTTTAATAGTGATGGGGAACAGACATATTGGACTTTTTTTTCCATATTAAATTATTTAGTTTGCATGCCTGTTTGAAATTGGACCTCTCAGCAGCACTTTGAAATAGTTTTAATTAGGTTAACATTTTGTACATTAAATAAGTAGATATAGATGGTTGATTTAACTAGATGTGTTAAATTTTGAAAGCACAAAGGTATTTTATCTTTTTGAATTAAAGGAGAAAAGCCATTGATTTGTTTTCACAGACAGTATTTTTAATAATTAACTGTCTCAGCACAGAGGTACCTTGGAACCAAGGGCACCATTGAAACTCAGTTGAAGCAACTTCCTAGTAAACCATTTTAGTGAGTCCTTTTTGCATAAATCTATAGCCTCTCAGAGGTGTGAGGCTGTCACAGATTGGTGATCTGCTATCTCTTTGAGATCAACTAATTTGGAGAAGTGTGTGTGTGCGTATCCTTTTTTAAGTCAAAGTTTACAACCTTACTGCAGGTGTATGAGGCAGACAGTTCTGTTTATAGACTACCTCCTTCCTGGAAAAGTCTCAGCTTCATATTCTGTTGAATATATGCAGAATTCTTAGTGTGAAAGGTGATGTACCACTTCAGATCAGTTTTCACTGGAGAGACTTGTAATTGGTAGCTGTAGCTCGTATCCATCCCTAGTCACTTTGCCAGGATGAATGCTGTTGGGCAGCAGTAGCCTAAGTTACGGAAGGGGAGCAGATTGAATGGGGTTTTGAGACATCTTCTCTGATACCTTAGCTTTCCTTCTGCTCTGGTCGCTATCCACTCAGTCGTGTGCTAGAAATGTTTAACAACCAGGATCTCTGGGGTGGGGGTGGGGGGGAGCGCTGAATTTGTAGCATTTGCTGCAAATATAAATTATAAATAAAATTCTAATATAAATTAGAATTTTATATCAAATTCTTTGATATAAATTAGTTACTCCTCCTGTGGCTGATTTCAAGCTACCACCTTAGAGTTCAGAAAGGATGTGCACAGTTGGCTCAGAGCCAGTGCTGGCAAACCATTGCATTTACTCCACCCAAGAGTGGATTTTCACATAATTTCTAAAATAATTTTTTCTTATTTATATACTGACTTTTCAAAATACAAAATTAAAATATCATGTCTGACTTCAGTGATCTTTTTCTTTTTCTTTTTTTAGAAATGAGATCTTTCAGTAATCCTTTAATTTAATTTTTTAGAGATGGAGTCTTGGTGTGTTACCCAGGGTGGACTCAAACTCCCGGGCTCAAGTGATCCTCCTGCCTCAGCCTCCTGCATAGCTGGGCTACAGGCATGCACCACCACACCTGGCTTAGTAATCCTTCTTTATTAATGGTTTGTCACAGTACGTTTGTGATGTTATATTGCTCATGGCATACTTTATGTGTTCGAACAAAGGTGGAAATTTCCATTGATTTTTTTTTTTTTAAATGTATGCACAAACAATCTGGATTTTGAGGAGTACGGTCAGGAAAAAAAAAAAAGAATTAGAGGCCCTTGAAAGGTCAACCGTAAGCTTCTTAGAGTTAAAATATGAGTTTAATTTTTTCCCACATTTTGACAGTTGAAATTTTGATAGGGACAGTAAACCTATGAGCCTCTATTAGGCTACTGGATTTTTTTTAACTGGAAAATTCCTTGAAGATTTACATACTATATTACAGATTTTAAAAGTCAAGACTGACTTAAGTAAATCAGAGGTTTGGAATTCTGGAGCTGTAACTCCAGGCTGTTGATAGTATCACTTCAGTTCCATTCACCCCTGCATTGTGTGACGTCCAGTCTGACAACATTGTTTCATCCTGATCTGACTTTCTACTATGATTCTTAAGTTCTTAAAGGTGTCCTTTTATGTTTTTGGTGAATGTAAGCACATTTAGAGCCACTCAGTACCACTTCTCAATACCTCTGAAGCAGTGGTTCAGAAAAGGAGTGTCCAGCCTTTTTGAACACACAAATTGATCAGTAAGAGTTATTGAACATAAAAACTTTCCCTATTAAAAATTCATATGGGTATATGTTAAATTATATACCGCTATACCAAAGTAATATGTGTGTTATAAAAAAATACACAAAAATTGAAGTGAAGGATGGCATAAAAAGTAATTCTTGAGTAGCAGTTATAGTATTTTCTTCCCACACCCCAGTTGGTTGTCTTGTGCACCCTCCAGAAGCACACGCTTTTCCTAAAGACTGCTGACTCAGGATATTCTCATTCTAATCTCCAAACATATATGATGCTCTCTTATGATATATGGAGAAATCCTAGAGATTTGGAGTTTTTCAGGAGAGCTTATTGTCAACTTTTGAAATTTCACATTAATTCTTTTTGATAAATTCCCAAATAATAATCCATTACCACATGTTTTCCACAGCTTTATTCCTATTACTTTCGTCAGCCTGTTGTCTCTTATCTTCATGTTAGGTATGACTCTATTTTTATTTTACTAGTCTGCTCACAGACTTCTTTGGGACTTATGTTATATTTTACCAACAAATTTAGAATTATTTCAAGTTGCTTTATGTTAAAATATATAACAAGTTACATTTTCTTGCTGCATTAATAAGTTTTTGATTTTTAAAATCTGATATTTCAGCAACTAAAGGAATACTTTTCTTTATAGGTCTGTTCTGTTTTTAACCTCATTGACTGTATATGTTTTATTTACCCGTGCCAGGAGTCTAGAATCGTGCTTAGGTGCCATTCTTAGGTATGAAAACAAGTTTGGAGACCAATGCAGGTCTCTGTGCAGAAATCTGGGGCTCTAAATGAATTACCAAACCAATAGGAAAGTTAAAATACTACTCATGATGTAGTGTGTCATCTGAAGCTATGATAGAATATATTATTTCTAAAATAGTATTGAGAAGTTAATTGTTCAGTCCATAGTAGTGTAAGTGAAGTGTGGAGGTCAGCCATAGTTGTCTTTCTTCAGCAGGTACTCTAACCAGAGACTGGGTTCTGTGGAAAATAGAATTATATTCTTGGTTTGGGATCAACAAATGTTTTGTTATTGTTTTAATGTTGCTGGCATTGCCTGAAACAAAGTGCCCTGTTATTCCTCTTATGTCATCAGAACTCTGCTTACTGAAGTTGAAGTTTAATCTTAGGATCTAGAATTCTTGTGGTTGGTCGTGTATTAAGAAAAGAAGGTGGTTTGATTTTATTTCTTGTACTTGGTGGAACCTGTTACTATACAAGTCATGTTTTGACCTGTAAGCCGAGCAAATCTGAAAGGTGAATCGTTAATGGTAGTATAATTGTTTCATTTGAAACTGTCAGTTTCTTCAAGTCACTTCTCTGAAAAAAATTATGATAGATTGATAGCCTGCCAGAAAATAGCAATTTCTAAGGTGCTGCCATCCACACTTACTTATTGTGAAATATGAAAATCCAGAGTGGTTTGTATGAGAGGGGAAATACTGGCTCTAAGCTTTCTACAGAAAACAGGAAATTCATGCTGTTGTTGACATAATTTTAAAGGAAACTTTTAACAAGAAAATTCATGAGGGATACAATCAAACATAGTTAATCTCTTGAGTGCTAATCATTTGAGTATAGTCCACATCAGGAAGTTTTATGAGGTTGAAAACTTTACTTTGAAATATTTAATTGGGAGACTAGACCATTTCTTTTTCCAAGTCATTCTGATTTATTGTCCTAGTAAATGTATGTGTATGCATATATACTGATGTATTGACTGAATGTGTGTGTGTGTGTGTGTGCGCGTGTAAATCTGTTTTCATAGGGAACATACATTGATGGCTCCTAGTCTATTTTATACTAAAACTTAAAAAAATTTGCTGCACTTTGCAGTTGCCACTTTTTAAAAGATTAATGCTTTGCACATTTCAGTAGGCCTTAAAGATGAATTGCTCACCAACATTTTAGAAATACACTGCTTACATGTGACATACTCTAAACAAAGTCATAGTAAACTGTTCTCTTAGGTTCATGTATTATTGAGCAAATAAGGATGTCCTTTCTTAAAATTTCTACATTTATGTTTGCTTTTGTGTAAAATCTTTATTAGTTTGTAAGTTTCTCAAAGAGGAGGTTTATACTGGAAGCAGTATTTCTAAAGTACAGAGATTCGACCATGGATTGAATACAGTAGTGGAGGAATGCTGGTATTGTGGCCTAATTTATCCTTTTAAACTGTATGTCATTAGTATTAGCCAAAACCTCAGAGTGGAGTGTCTTGGGCTGAATGATCTTCTCAACTTTGCCTTGTTTCCCATCTCATAAAGGCTCCTTCTGGTTCTTTTCCCTTCCAAGGATTGTGAGTCATGCTCACATAGGCCTGGGATCTTCTGGATGGGGTCGGGGAGGAGGTGGGGGTTTCCTGTGGCTGGCCCAGAGTTCTAGCCAATGGAATCATTCAAGAATGCCTAAAGTTCAGGGGTGGGAATGCCATATATTGGTGTTAATCACTTGGCACTTTCTTGGGCACCAATATTAGCACTGTTTCATTTTTAATAACTGGAAGCACTTAATGATTATTTTGTTTGTTTAATTTCAACTTAAGGATATTGAGGGTCAGAGAAGTAAGGTTTATTTCTTGTTTATGTTTTCTGGAATTTATAGGGTGTTTGTAGAAGGGATAAATGGGTTACCTAATGAGCCATTCTTCTAGGCTCTGTAAGGTATGCCCTTTTGGCTAGGATATTTTAAAATAATTTGCAAGCTTTTAATATTGTGCTTTGTAGAAATTTACGATTTTTAAAAATAATTTGCAATTGATAGATTACACTTAAATTTATAAAGTATCCAATTTTAAGTTTCTTTTCTGTTTGGTCATTGTTGCTTATTGTCTATTGTGTAGGGGACACAATCCTGACATTTCATTGTTTTGTTACTTGGGGCAGTATTAACCAGTGGCCTTTGTATGTACATTCATTGCTTACATTTATTGTTTAAGTGGTAGAGTAGCATTTTTATGAACTTCCCTGTTCAGTATTAGTGAAATTGACAGATGCGTATATGTAAAGATAGAAAAGAAACGAATACAATTAATTTTTTATTCCTTGAGGCCTATTTATTTGTTTTGGCCCTGGATCTTTTCTAATCACAATTATATTTCTTTATTTTTGCCTTTGAGCAGTTTCATTTATCTTTGTGGGCAGGGAAGATTAAATATGAAATTCAGTCCAGTCATTTTGCTACTGGTTAGCTTTAGTTTGAGGCAAGTAAAAATTTTTGATTAAAATTAGTTTCTTAAAATTATGCCCTTGCTTTACCAAATAATCAAATTGGCTAAAAAATAAGGGTATGTAACTTTGCATTTTGAAGAACAAACCAATAATTTTTCATGAGCCCTACTCGATCTTCTTTAAAGAAGACCTTCCTAAGAGACAATTAGGGATGAGTTTGATTAATGGGAAATAGCTCTAGGTTAGATTATTTTAAATTCCATACACCAAGTGATTTAACCACAGTGGCAGTGGCAGTTTCTGAACCGTCAAGTATGAACATCACTTAAAAATTAAAAGATGCTTAATAATAAACTCTTAATTTTCATTAAGCCAATCTGTAATTCAGAAGAAAAGCATATGTCTGCCATGGGACTATTGCAGTGCGTCTCCATCAGTGTTAACACAGGAGAGATATGTTATTTTATGTGTAT
Organism: Homo sapiens; assembly: GCF_000001405.40. Lineage (NCBI taxonomy): Eukaryota > Metazoa > Chordata > Mammalia > Primates > Hominidae > Homo > Homo sapiens. Next base: position 205,608,874 of record NC_000001.11, on the reverse strand, counting down.
GTCTTAGTTTGGGATATGTGGTAGTAAGAACATGTCAAGAGTGCT